>NC_000004.12:117406229-117557744 GCF_000001405.40 Homo sapiens | reverse complement strand
CATATTAGAAGGAAGTCTAACCCAGATGTCAATGCCTAGCTCGTGGAATTCTATTGGGTATTAATTTGCCTGGCACATGACTGACACTGTTTCCAATCACCTATGCAGTGTAGCCTAATGCTCCCCTTCTTACCTGCTATTACTTCCCACCTCTTTCCTCCTCACCAAATACAATTTCCACCACATTCACTTCCCAATACTCTTGAAACATTTTACAGATGCTGCTGCCTAAGGGATTTTTTGCAGGAGCTATTCTCTCTTTTTGAAGTTTTATTTAACATATATCTGTTCTCCACATTTTCTCAACTCTTTCATGCCTTTACTGGAAAGTCATCTTCTCCAGGAGGCCTATATAATGCTCTATCTGGAATTGAAAAACTCTTCTTTCAATCTTCCTATCTCTTTTCCCTGCCTTATTATTATTATTATTTATTACTATTTTTGAGACGGAGCCTCACTCTGTCGTCTAGGCTGGAGTGCAGTGGCAACATCTCGGCTCACTGCAAGCTCCGCCTCCTGGGTTCACGCCATTCTCCTGCCTCAGCTTCCCGAGTAGCTGGGACTACAGGCGCCCGCCACCACGCCCGGCTAATTTTTTGTATTTTTAGTAGAGACGGGGTCTCACGGTGTTAGCCAGGATGGTCTCCATCTCCTGACCTCGTGATCCGCCTGCCTCGGCCTCCCAAAGTGCTGGGATTACAGGCGTGAGCCACTGCGCCTAGCCTATTATATTTTTTACTTAACATAAAATTCACCATGTAACATCCCATATAATTTAGTAATTATAATGTTTGTTAACTCCCTCTCCTTTCTAGTAGTAGATATCAAATGTCAGGATATATTGTATATTTTGTTCATCATTTGATCCTGAAAAGTTAAAATAAAACTTGATTAGACAGTAGGTGCTCAATAGGTATTTGTTCAATAAGCATATAAATAAATGGATAAAACAATGTATTTTCACATAAAATGTGCCGCTCTTAAACAATATCTTTCTTCTTTTTATTCAATTGGATACTTTAAATGTGTGTCATAAAGTACATGTCTTTTCGTTCATCCCATTTAGCCACGTTTTTGAACGTTTTAGTTTTCTGAACTGTACTTAAGGCAGAGCAATCTAACCCAGGCTTTGAAGTCGGCAAGATGTAGATTTGTATTTTAGTTTTTCCACTACCAGCTGAATGACCCAGTGCAGGTTAATAATTTCCTCTAAGACTCAATTTTATTAACTTTAAGTATATACACTATCTATTTCACAGACTTGTTGTGAAAGTGCCACACATTATTTTCATAATAAACTTGCTCTTTTTATTTTCTTTCCACTAGTATATTTTAGACACCGATTCCATTATTTAACTTCTTCCTCAATACCTCAGCTACATTTTTTCAACAAACTTAAATCTTGCTTTTAATCCCTGTCTCCAGATGTTTACTACAGTTTCTCAACTTGACAATGTTGAGAATATTGAATAGAAAATATTAATGTTTTCCTCATAAGTCCATTTGGTTTTTAGTTGCCAGCTCTTCTTTTTCAAATATTAATCTTATATGTCCCATCACGATTCTTTTCCCTTCAGAAAAAACAAAAAAAACAAATTTTCCAATTTTTATTGTTTTGATGTATTTTCATTTCCTCGTAATTACTCAAAGATTTATCATCATATTCAAACAATCCCATCTACAATTACTTATAGTCTCCTCAAATGACATTTTTCCCAGCCAAGAGACTTGACCTCATATAGAGCAGTGAGAAGCATTTTAATCATCATTTTTCTAGTCTTAGTTTTCCATTTACCCTTGCAAATTTTCCCTTTTTCCATTTATGGAAAACACAGAAACAATATGGTGTCATGTATTTTTGCAATGTTACCCATTAACTTAATACCATCAACTCCAGGCAGTGAACCTATCCATTTATTGTTAACTTTGTTCTCGTGTATTTAACAAAAACAAACTTTAAATTTTCAAAAATTGTTACAAGCCTCAGCTAATACTATTCTTACAATTCTGTGATACTCACTAACTTTCATATTGGTTTTTGTTTTATTTACATCTTATTACATGTTCTTGTTTTCATATCAATGTAAATATTCTTCCAGAATTTAATTTGCAGGAAGATCAGTGGCAAATGTAATAAATTTTTAAGATAAATCTTATTTTTCTTCCTCACAAATAACTACATAGCCAGAAATACTTTCTCTGAGAGCATTCGATTGCTTGAATAATTGTCCACTCTGAGATATGAATTAGCACATTCTTTCTACCCGAATTTTTAGAAGTCTGTCTTCCCAAAGTCGAGAATAAATTAATCATTATGCCCAGTCTTCAATTTCATGGCTATCAAAATTCTATGATGACAAAATTACTTTCTCTCTCAGTTGCCATTTCTTCCTCATCAAGTTATTCCTTCTTGTTCATCACTGTGAAGTCATTAGAAATGAATCAGTAAATAATTCTTCATTTTTATCACAAAAGCCCTTTTCTCATTGTTTTCCCATTAAAATGCATTGCTCATAATACTTTATTTCCAAACCAAAATAGTAGGTTATATGTAGTTATTCTTAAGTATTCAGTTATTTTCAAGCATTTTAAAATGATAAAAGTGTACCAGGGACCCCCATATCTAATTTTAGATGTCTCTGGTGATAATGTTTAAAATTGGACATATTTCCTAAGCTTGGAAAAATAAAACTTTCAACAAAATGGGAATTTCCAACAAATATCTGGAGAGATGGGCTATCATAATAACTATAATAGCTTGCCTCTGAATCTGTATTAGGAAATTATTATGGATACATTCTTGATAGCCGAATTTTTAAATATATATTTCTTCAATAGTAACACTCTGTTTCTCTCTTTGAATCTTTCTTAAACCTTGAATTGACTATGGCAAAGAACGTTGTAACGGATGACATAGTAAGATTGTGCTCACTTTCAATCAAAACACTCTTCCTCAGATTTCACTCTCTGGGTCCACAATTTTATATTCTTCTACACTTGATTTTCTATGGGCTTTATTTATTTCAAAGTACTTTTTCTATCAATGATTATATTCATGATGTTCTAAAATAAGCCTGTAATAATTATGTTTAATTTTATTTTTACTGAGATGTATTTGTGATCAAAACATTTGGAATTCACTCGTTTAGTTATTGCTATATTGGTGCGATTTCTCTGGGGAGTGTACAAAGAAAGTGTTCCTAGTCAAAATTAATCACTCAGCCCTCTATCTACCTCTTGCCTTTATGTCACAATCATATTGGTTTTGCTGAGCTGCCTTGTAAAGTTAATTAAGTGCTTGCATACCTTGTACTACATTGAAGTTTCAGCAAAATTTAAACCAGTGGAACACTCCCTTCTTGAAAATTTCTCTTCCTTCGCTTTTTTGTCATCACAGTCTCTTGATTTTCATTTTACTTTCATATGCCCTGTCTTCTTTATACACGTATCCCTTATGTTTTGTTTTCCTGTGATTTGCCTGTGTTCTGCTGCCCTCGTCATTATATGTACTCTTTCTTGGTGGTTTCATAAGCACTACAAGAGTTTCAAACACCTTGTAAATGCCATTGACCCTCAAATCATCTTTTTAATAAAATTTTCTCTTCTTCCTTTTCTCCCTGACTCTGTGAGTTAAACCACCACTGATTACCCAAGCCTTACAAGTGAGAGCCACAGCTAACCTTCTTGCTGTCAATGAATTCTATGTTTAATTTGCCATAAATTGTTATAGATTCTACACTCTGAATACCTCTTGCATTCATTTTCTTATCTAATTTCCAACTGACATCGTATTAATTCAAAATTCATCCATTTTTACCTGGATCACTGATATAACCTTCTAATGGATTTCATCCTTATTCTGTCATGTGAAGCAGATTTATGCTTTCCAATTTCAGCTGGGCCCTCAAAATTATTTGGCAATCCTTTTACTTGTCAGTCAAATGAATCTTGATTTTATAGCCCTGACCTATGTACTAGTATGAACATTGCTCTCTTTTTCACCCTGTCAAGTCATGATTTTTGGGAGTCTGACAATGACACTTTGCAAGTAACCACATGGAAATTTATAAGCTTCTTTCTCCATGCCAAATTGTCCCTGATTCTGCTGTCTTGCTCCTGCTACCATTTGCCCATGGCTGTGAGCAGCTTGTAAGAAGTCTCACCATTGTTCCATCCTAAAATGCTGACATCCCTAGTAAGTAAGTTGTTTTTAGATAATCTGAGAAATTCTCATCTTTGGGATATTGGAATGATTCTGATCTCGCTAGAGGCAGGGAGAAGGCCTTCTCCCAGTCTAATGCTATACTTCATTGTGTCAGCTCCAAAGCACAATATCCAACATCCCTCTAACAGAACCTTGAAAGTTTCTGACCCTCACTCCTTAACCAGAGGTGCGCTCATTCAATCATACTGCCACAAATGAAGTGGACTTCTGTGAACTCTTTATTAGAGTTCATTCTTTATTAGATTACTCTTTATTATTTTTTTCCAATATTTTACCCTTCTAATTCTATTGCTTTAGAGAAAATCTCTTCTCTAACAGATATAAAATAAAAACATGGCCTTCATTTTAATGGAATCAGTAGATAGTGGGGAATGTAGAGAGAGATGGAAGGAGGAAGCATACTGTTAACTTTTGAACAGAAGTAGGGAGCAAAAATATTATTTGTCACCATTGTCTGAATTCATCTTCTTTGTGGGCTTTCCTTGGCTTGCACTATGAATGTGAAGTGTTCTATTCTAAGCCTGCTTGTCCTTCTTTGATGTCTATTCATCTTTTTTTTCATAACTCTAAGTTGATGCTATTGCTTCCAACTTCACAGAGAAAAACTAGTTTCTCATTTATGTATTCGTTCAACAAGCATCCATTTAGAGCTAGAAATACCTTTTTCTTCAAGAAGTTTACAGTGTAATAGAGGAAACAAAACAAATATTAAGTGATTATGTCGCTGTGGTCAAAATCCACATAGAACACGGGGGCTCAGTGAAGGGAGAGTGAAATTCTGTTAGAGATGGAAATCAAGGCTTCATAAAGAAATTGAAATTTCAGAAGTCTGCATTTATTCCTCCCACCAATATAAGATTGTTTTGAGAATTAAAGGTTGCAAAACATATGATGCCAGTTAGTAACATTTAAACCTTAAATGGTTTTATAAGTGTGTGTGTGTGTGTGTGTGTGTGTGAGAGAGAGAGAGAGAGAAAGAGAAAGAGAGAGAGAGGGAGAGATAATAAGAGATCATTTTTGACTTCCTGTTTAAAGGAAGAAATATGTTTTTTATTATTTTTACCTCGTTGTGGATGAATCCAATAAATTATGTAAATATATAATTTGACTGAAATCTTACTAGTCCTTCCATTAGGGAATACTTTCAAGCTTTCTGTGTTTTCACTTTATTATTATTATTTAAAATTTCATAGAGTATATACTCATGAAAAAACTTTGAGAAGGATGAACAAGTTTTTTGTCTGCCTTTAAGGTTGTTTATAGTAGAGGAGAAAAGGACGAAATAATAGCTGTATGTGAAATAAATGAGTCCAAGTTTTATAAAATTGTAACATCATTATAAAAGCTTCTTTTAAATTCTATCTTAATAGAAAAGTGAATGGTAGTCCCCTTTCTCTGCTTTGGGGAAAATTGTAGCTCAGGTATATGTGTAAGGCCTTAAAACTCATTTTAATGGCGTGGTCATGGCTGAGGGTTCTAGCTAATGTTTTTCATTTACACTAGCAAGTACATGATTGGTAGCAGCTTAAAGAAGCATCACTTCAGACCTTTATAAGCAATAGAAAATAAAGTATTACCCTCAAAGGCCATCAACATCTCTTACTGAAGTCATTAACCTTTAAAAGGAGAGACAATTTTAGATGTTTGTTTATTGTTTTTGGAATGTTGTACCAAACCTGCCTTGAGATCGCACTGCTGTAATGTTCTAATACATAGCATCTATTATCTTTTTGGGTAAAGGTGTATTAGTCTCAGTTTGGTTAGGAAACCAGAACTGCTCTAAGAATTGAGAAAAGAAAGTAATTAATGTAGAAGCTGAGGATATGGGAATGTGAGAAGGAGGTGGGGCGTGGGGTAATTAGTGAGTAGAGGGATGGTAATGTAGGTTCAGAGGGTCAAGAACCAGTCACTGCTGACATTAGCCTGAAGCACTGAACAAGAGGACTCCATTGTTGGCTGGGGAATTACTTCAAGTTCTAGTGTTCACAGAGAAACAGGGACATCAGGGAGATATTTGAAGCACTGGCGTGTGTCTATCATGACTTCCTGAGGGAACTGTAACTTCTTCTAAATGTGCGCAAGTTCCTTTTATTGTTAAACTCTAACTTGGAATCATATATAAGAAAGGGTATTCTGGGAAACGTAGTTTCTGACTTCTCTGCACTCTAGAGGAGTCCTTAGAAGTGGGCACCAACAGTGCAAAGCAGACAACTGGACAACTAGTAATCCAGCAAGTGTGAACAATGTGTTGTATGCCAGACTTGATATTTGTTACTTCATACTTACGATTTAATAAAGAGATGGTGAAATTAATTTTATAGTTAAAAAGTGAAAATTTTAACTATACAATGTTTAAAAAGTGAAATTTTTAGCTACACTTTAAATTTGACATAGTTTCTCATTATATCCTAAGTATTTTGATATGAAATGGTTAATAAAGAATATTATGTTTTCTTCACCCTGCAAGAAATCAAACACAAACAAATAAGCCAAATATACTGAACAGCATGAGACTGAAAAATATTATTTCTCTAACAAAATTTTTCTGTTTTTTTAATTCTTGTTGACATGCTTAACTATATTAACCTTTCATTTGGTTAGTTTGATAATATGATGAAACTATATTGATTCTGCTTATCACTAAATATATTATAAGAACGCATGTATATGTGTTCTGCAAAATATGATCAAAGTATTATTGTTTCCGAAAATCTTTTTATGAGCACATATATGTGTATGTGTATGTGTGTGTATGTGAATGTGTGTCTATATACAGTGACACATACATATGTGTATATAGACCCGTGTATGTATGTATGTATAAATATATTTTTTGTATGAAGCTGATTATACTTTTGTACGAATCACAAGCTAATTATAGCAACGGATTCTTTTATTTATAGCAGCTCAACTTGTTTAATAAACAGTTATTATATGCAGTCCTGAGCCAAGTCCAATGCCATAAACTAGTCAAAATACATTATTTTTAATACCCTCAGTATTCCCGCTGGTAGAGCAGTGATACTTTTCTTATAAAAATTCTGCCTTTGGGGCATCAAGCTTTTCCAGCTTTAAATAAGACAAAATTGATTTTGTTGCAACAGCCTCGATTTTTGTGTAGACCTATGTTAAGATACTTTTTTTAATTAAATGTCAAATCCAGCTTGGCACTGCAAACACAGTGCATGCTTGATGTTTGAGGAAAAGCTATCAGCTTGTCTCTCCCTGTCAAATTGCCAGCTGCCTTGTAGTGATAGTTTAGGCTAAGGGATCACTGTTAGGCAGAACTTCGTATCACAAATGGCTCAATGCTGTGTGACTTGGGGGAAGATGTGAGACAACCTATTTGTCTTTGTGAGATTGAATTTTATACTTTTAATTATTTAAGGTTATTTTAGGTAGTTTTCTTGTAGATGTAACAATAAATCAGAAATCCCATTCAGAGAAAGGCATAAAAAGGAAAGGTGAAATCCTTCTAAGTAGTAATTTCTATGAATCTTAGCATCTGGTGCTATAGTTGGAATAGAAGATTTATATTTGCCATAGCAATATTTTATATTACTCCTTTTTTACATCTTAAGAAATCCAAACCATAAAGTAATTGGTAGTCAAGACACTGGGACTCTGCCTCTGTTCTTTAGAACAACTTACTCCTTGTCATGATGTTTTTTGCAAGATTGTGCAATCCGTTAATAAATTACAAACCAGAAGCAATTATCCAGATAATTAAAGCCTCCCACTTTCCTCCAAATAAATAAACTAAAAGAAAAAGAGAGGAAACGTTGTTGGCATTTTTCCTACTCAAGGATCCAAAAAAGAAGTCACTGCAGCCACTAATAGTACAGCCATAAACAACGCAGGGTTGTTGTTGAAACGAACACTAGCAACATAAAGATGAGAGGAGAATTCATTCACCGAGGCAATTTCCAGCAGCAGTATTGAAGCTTTTCTTTGGTAGGAGCAGCCAAGCTGTGTCCAGGCCAGTGGTGGAGGACTACTGTTTTGTTAGAGTCTTTTTTTTTTTCTAGACATTAACATAGGTGCACCAAGTTTCTTTTGATTAGGATTTGCTTTTTCTTTTTTTCATCATTGTGCTTTTAATCTTTCTATATTCTTACACATCTCTACTGAACAGAATACTGTTGGATATTTTAAATCCCATCTGATAATATTTGATTTTCACTGACCCATTCAGTTCATTTACATTTAATGTAATTACTAGTATATTTGTGTTTTTCTTTATTATCTAATTTTGAGTTTTGTATTTGTTTTATTTGGTTCATGTTATTTCTTTCTTTTTTTTTTTGCCTCCTCGGAATTGATTCTTTTTACTCTTTCCATTATATTTTTCCTCCTATTTTGGAATATATTTATCTGCTTTAGAATGTTCTAAAGACTACAATGTAAATATTAAACTTACCTAATTCTAAGGTGAATGAATACCTTTATCCTGCTCCCAGAAAATATAAAGATGTGGACTCATTCATCTACGTAAATGTTATGCAATTATATCTTTTACTGTGCGATATACTCTAATTATTGTATATAGTCAGTATTTGTTTAGATTTACTCACATTTTTACACTTTTCTATGCTTTTCCTTTCTTCTGTCCTCACATGTCTTTTACATAAGACTAATTTTTTTCTGAGTCAAGTATAGTGATAGAATTTCTTTGCAAGAATCTGCTGGTGGTAAACAGCTAGATTTTGTTTATCTGAAAAAGGTCTTTATTTGTACATGTGCCACCCATAATACTTCTCTAAAAGTCTTTGTTTATTCCATCAATAACATTTATTGAAATCATAGCATAAGACAAAATGGAAGATTTTAGTTTATACCTTACTCCATATTCTCTTCCTATCCCTAGCCTCCTCCCTCACCATAAGAATACTGTGTAGACACCCCAGCCTGCATGTCTAAGTTCTGTTTACAAAATCAGTCTCCATTTTGAGGGGTGAGGACAGGGCAAGGCCAGAAAGGAGCTTTGTACAATGCTGGGCCCAGGGCAAGGATCCTGATTGCCTGGGTCAGAGGTTAGAGCTATTTCTTTTGTGATATCTCTTGAAAAATGTGTTTACAGTATGGAGTTCTAGGTTCACAAGTTCTCCTCAGTCTTCAGGAGTCTATCAATACTGTCCGGAAGCTACCTCTCAGACTCAAGTAACTAGCTTGAAGATAATCTGGTCCTTTTATCTGACAATTTTAAAGACCTTCCCTTTGTCTTTGACTTTCTGAAGTTTCACTATGATGTGTCTAGTATGAACTTCTTTTTATTTATTTTATGTGAAGTTTATTGGGCTTTCTGTATCTGAGAATTTGTGACATTCATTAGTTCTGCAATATTCTCAGCCATTGTTTCTTTAAATTTTACCTTTAATCCATTTTATCTTTTCAACAATTATGTATTTTTTGAGTGCTTAACATGTGCCAAGCACACTTCTAGGTACTAGGGATATGTATCTGATCAAAACAGTCAAAAAACATCTCTATTCTAGTGGTTCCAGAAAATCTGCATACAAAAAAAAAGCAAAATCCATAGCATTTAAAAGACTGTTAGTGGTTATTACAAAAAAAATTAATGAAACAGGAAAAGAAGGCAGAGAGTGTCAGAGGCATAGTTACAATTTAAATAGTGTGTTCAGAGAAGGCCTCAATGAAAAAGTGATACTTGTGCAAATACATGGAGGAGGAAAGGGAGTGAGCCTCCTGTATATTTGGGAAAAAGAGATCTCAGGAACAGGGATTCACAAGTATAACAATCCTGACTTGAGAACAAGTCTGATGTGTTCACAGATATGTAAGGAAGCTTAACAGGCTTGTGCAGGATAATATTTTCATTTCTTTAATCCTTCTAAGAGTATCAAATTAAGGTCATCATACATAGGAGAAAACAATGGGGTTCTTCATTTTTAATTAAGAGGTACATTAAACACAACATACCCTATTGTTGTAATAAATATGTGCTGCAATTGCTGATAAATATGCTATGCACACTTAATGATTATGTTCATTTTGGTTGTATACATGAAACTTTATTGGTTCATAATAGCTAGTGGTTTAACTATATGAACACAGAAAAATGTATTTTATTTCTCAATGATTTTGTATATTATTTGGTCTAATCTTAAAATAGAGGAAATTTAATTCTATCAAGTAGAAGTTCTTACTGTGTAAAAAATACATTTAACATTCAATTAACACAATTAGAAAACTATTTTGATCTCAGACTGCTGTGCTAGCAATGAGTGAGGCTCCATGGGCGTGGGACCCTCCAAGCCAGGCCAGGGATATAATCTCCCGGTGTGCCGTTTGCTAAGACCATTGGAAAAGAGCAGTATTAGGGTGGGAGTGACCCGATTTTCCAGGTGCCAATAGCAAATACAGCAATAATTGTTATTTGTTTTGCAGTTGTTTGTGCCTCTCTTCCTCTTTTGCTGTCTTGCTTTGTCATTTGATGATTTTTGTAGTGATTTGCCTTAACTTTTCATTTTTTATGTTTCCTTTATGTTTGTGTATCTATTATAGGTTTTTTTCTTTGTGGGTAACTCAAGGTTTGCATAAAATACCTTGTAGTTATAATTATCCATTTTATGTTAACAACTTAACTTCAACTGCATATTAAAATTATACACTTTACTTTCCCCCACCCACACTTTGTGCTTTTGTAGTCAATTTGCTTCTTTTTATATTGTGTATCCATTAACACATTTTTATCTTTTAATTATTATATTAGAATTAAAAGTAACTTCTAAACCATTAAAAAAACTATTTTGGAGGTAAATTTTGAGAATAATTTTTCTCCCTTGGGTAGAAATTCATACTCTTTTTTGAAATTTAGTTTCTATTTTTCAACCAAATCTAATGCTAAGGTAACTTAGAAGCTGTATAGAATCTGCATAAAATCTCGCAAGGCTGTTCATAAGGAGTGTTTCATTGGCTTAATCATCTTAAATGGAGTTGATGCCAATGAAAATCTTCTTAAATACTATAAAAGAACTGCATTGATGAAAAAAATATTTTGTTATCTTAAAAACTATCAGCTACAATTACATTTGCTTCTGATCATTTGTGCAAATAATTTATGAAATCTTTAGATAAATGAGATAAAAGAGGATCCTTCAGGTTAAGACTATTTAATCAAATGGATACCCTGTTTTCTCACCTGGGGACATACTCTTCCTAGAATCATAAGCAATACAGGATGGAAGAACTTTCTGTTCTTATTGCTTTACTAAAGGCTTGGCTTTGCAAAGACACCACCTGGCCATCCCTGCTCATGCTACTAGAATTTTTTTGCAATTCTTTTACTGGCCTTTTCATTGACATATTCATGCTTAGGGATTTCATACTGCACCAGGACTTCTGTATAATGACAATCCTCTAATAACTATCTGTATTCAATATTTTTCTCCTCTTCCCAGGGCCTACATAAATAACTGCTTATTGGTCATCTCGATTTTGGTGCTTCAAAGTTGTCTCAAATTTAGTCCATCAAATTTATTTTATTGAAAAAAAATCCCTTTTCTTTTCCTGTGTTCTTTATTTCAGTGAATGGCATTACCAACTGCCATGAAACTTGACTGTAATATATCTTGAACCCTGTTTTATCTACCTATCCATATTTCCATGCATACATCTTTTTCAGAGAATCACTTTTTATTTCATTTTAATGGCTTTATTAAGATAGAATGAACATACCATAAAATTTACCCACTTAGAGTTTATAATCACTTTTATCATATTCACAGTTGTGTATCCATCACCACGATCAATTTAAACACTTTTATTACCCCCAAATAAACCTCATAATACTGAAATGCCACCTACCAACCCCTCCTTTCACAACACCCCTAGATAACCACAAATCAACGTTTTTTTCTCTATTGATTTATCAGTTCTGGACATTTCTTATAAATAGCATAAGACAATATTGGCCCTTTGTGACTAGCTTCTTTCACTTCAAATGTTTTCGATATTCATTCACATTGCAGCATATATCAGTACTTCATTCTTGTTTTATGGTCAAATAATTTATCATTGTATAGATATACCACATCTTCTTTATCCATTCATTGACTTATAGACATTTTGGTTTACTTCTACCTTTTGACTATTATGAATAATGTTGCCAAAAGCATTTATGTACAAGTTTTTGGGTGGAGATATGTTTCATTTCTCTTGGGTGTATACCTAGGAGTGGAATTGTGAAATCATACAGTAGTTCTATGCCAAACCATTTGAGATACTGCCAGATAGTTTTCCAAAGCAACTGCAACATTTTACATTTCTACCAGCAATGCATGAGTGTTTCATTTCTCCACATCCTTCTAACACTTGCTATTTTTTATCTTTTAGATTATAGTCGTCATAGTGACTGTGAAGTGTTTTCTCATTGTGTTTTTCATTTGCATTTGCACAATGACTAATGATGTTGAACACATTTTGCTGTGCTTACTTGTCATTTGTACATCTACTTTGTAATAATTTTTATTCAGATCCTTTGCCCATTTAAAAAAATCATCTTTTTATTATTGAGTTGTAACAGTTCTTTATATATTCCAGAGGCAAGTACCTGCTACATAAACCAGCCTAAGATGGCCTCTTTTTATTGGCCCTGAGGATGTTTATTTCTTCATTTAGGCTGAGATTTGTTAACTTAAAAGCTCACTGGTGCCAAACTTAAAAGTTTTGCACATCAATTATTTTTTAAGTTGCCCAAACAAGCTGATTTTTAGCCATTTAGAGACTGCCTGCTTTGCATATCCCATAAAACCTTGCCTCACGTCTGCTAGCAATAGATAAGCCGGGCCCTATAAAAATACCAAGCTGTTGCTGCTTTTTGGAGCTCTCTAACCTAGAGTTTTCCTTCCTAGTGACCAGAAGTTCCCTTGCCTTTTTCCACTTCTGTGTAGGAACCATCACTTCTTAGTCAGTGTAGCCCAATATAGTTGTGTGTGCTATTGCCGCCTCATGGCCATATATTTTTCCTTGATTAGCCTCCCAAGTCCCTTCAAACCCCGATACTATCTTATCAGATATGTGATTTGCAAATTTTCCTCATTTATGTAGATTGTCTCTTTATTTTCTTGATAGTGTCCTTTGAAATACAACATTTTTAATTTTGGTGATACCCAGTTTATCTTTTTGTTGTTGTTGATTGCGTTTTTGGTGTTATTTCTAATAAATCGTTGCCTGATCTAAGGTCACTAATATTTATATCTACGTTTTCTTCTAAGAGTTCTTCAGTTTTAGCTCTTACATTTAGGTCTTTATCCACTTTGAGTTAAATTTTGCCAATGGTGTAAGTTCAGCAAACTTCATTCTTTGCATGTGGATATCCAGTTGTCCCAGGGTCACTTGCTGAACAAAAAAATTAATATCTCTTATAGTAGTATCTTTTTATCTATTCTTATTGCAGTTGCTGTAGTTCATTTCACCATTTTTTTCTGAATTATGTGAACCAGTGCCCCGAATTAACTGATACTTGTTTCTTCGTTTATTTTCTGTACTACAGCCAATGAATTTTCTCAAATAAGAATTTGATTGTGTCCTTCTCTTGTTTAAAACTTAAAAATTAAGTTTTATAATTTCAAATAAAGTATAAATATCTTAGCACGGCACACAAATGTTGACTTTTTTCTCACACTTGGCCTTTATGCTACAACTATATTTTTAGTTTTTTATTTTATATTTTTTATTTTTTTTAATATTTTTATATTTTTATTTTATATTTTTAGTATGCCATGCTCACCCCTCTCAATTCTGTGCCTTTTCAGATGCTGCTTCTTCTTCCTATAAAACTCTCAGTGTCCTTTAGTTCTAGGTTACTCATTAAAGCTTTGAGAAAGTCTTCCTTAAGCAGTGTAAGACAGGGTTAGTTTTTCTCATAGATATAGAACTTTCACCTATCATGGTGGCTATGATAGTACACTGTAATCACCTGATGATTGTCTTTCTTCCTCTAGTTTGTAAATTCACCAAATTGAAAGACTGTCGTTTTCACTATGGTGTCTCCAGGGCTGAGTACAGTATTGGGTACAAAGTATACATTAAATTAATAATTACCATGTTGAATTACTTACTTACATTAACAAAATCAATAAGAAAATCTAACTTGAGTATTTTAGTCCAATTGTGAAAAGGCATGACAGTGAGTTACTGTAGGTATAGGAATATAGATTATTGAATGAAGAATAAGATTGCTACCCTTAAGCAGTTTATTGGCCATGCTAGATGTAAACCCATGAAATACAATAATCCATTTACATATACCCAAGAATGCATTAAAGAAAATCCTAAAGAAGTTCTCCAGAGAAGTTTACTTTTAAACTTCTTAGAAGCTCATTACTGGTCTCTCTTTTAAAATTCTAAATATGTTTGCTTTCTTGGGCATAGATTGTGTGATTTCCATGAAAATAAAATACAGCTCGTTTAGTATGTAAAATAGACAAACTATACACAAAACACATTTACTTCAATTCTGCAAAGTTTTGCTATTTCCTTCATATCTAATTACCATTCTAAGTGGTGGAGATAAACAGTTTTTGCTCTTGCATAAGCTTAGATTCTTGGGAGGCAGCAAGTCATAGAATTAGATAATTTCAATGCAATAGGGTAATTGCGATGATTTCAGTTGTAGGCATAATAGTGGGGCCTGGGCTAGCTTAGACATCTATGAATCTATGATATATTTGCAAAAATGAAAGGCAAAATTATTATTTTCAGCAATTGCATAGTAATAAATGAATAAAACAAATTATGAATACAATGATTATAAGTTTTTTTTTATGGTTACTAACAGAGAAATGTCACATCTCAAAATAATCTCTCGTAGTAGGTAAAACATAGCACCTCAAAAGCAGTAGTGGTAATGAAGGTCGTAGTAAATCTTCATTGCCATGTCCAATAATTAGATCTCATAATTCTTTACTGTGTGGATTAACATTAGGCAATATCTTACATTATAGACTGGCTTTTTTTAAAACTTTAGTTATTTTTCATCATAGAGTGGAAATTAACCAGAAATTGAATGATGGTGAAACCTTAATAGCTTTAGTAGTTTAAGGCTATTCAAGTAATTATACAGAAGAGGTCTCTGAAAAAAATTTATAGTTTACAAAATTGTAATAGTTTCAAGACATTAATTTCTTATGTGTCCTCCAATATTGCAAAGGCATTTTTACAAGCATGTATTTGTGGGAAATTCCAACAGAGCCTGGGTAATTTCCTGTTCTTTTAGTATCCTTGAACTTAGAACAATCAATTTAAGTTGGTTTTGGATGAATATTGAAGCTGTTACTTTCTGTGGAAAATTTACAATTATATTCTAACTATCCACCTTTAGAGGAATAATTCATTTAAAAAATAGCATAAACTTAGAGAGGCAGTAATGTAATATTTAGGGAAAAGGCATAAGTAATGTCATTCCCTATGCCTATGTGTAGGCCTTGGGATGGCAAACGTTTTCCTTCATTACAACCTCAACAACAGATTAAAATAAATAGTATTGCCACAGGAAGCAAAACTAATATGTAGGAACTTTACAAAATGCATCTTGCCAGCCAGCAGCAGTGCACATATAAAATGATGCTGAATCAATTGGATATCATCTTGATACTAGTACCCCACCAGAGAGCTAGTTGGAGAGCTAGTTGACACACTGATATAGATTTCCCTGCCACAACCTATTACTGCTTTACACTTTTTCTTAGCCAGGTGACTATTTCCTGTCTCCAAAGACTACAGCTTGGGATTAACGGTATTTCTTTTATCATGTCACATTCTAAAGAGTGACTTAAATGAGGAAACTATTAGAAAGTTTAGATATTCATATAAAATCATGCTGCAGGAAGTTAATAAAAATATGATGAGGTGATAGCCCCATCAAGGCATTCCACAAACAATTTCAATACATTCAGGATGTTTCAGACAAAGAACAGAGATAGATACATAGATAGGCAGATATTTAGTAATATTTTATTCATAATTTTCAAATATTCTCATGGTGACACTTATTCCCATAGTCTAAAAAATAAATTTTATAAAATAATAAAAATACAAACCACACTAGGGGAGAAAATACTCACAATCACCTATCCAATAAATGACTTGTATCAAGAATATATAAATAACTTCCAAAGTTCAATAATAAAAAGCCACCTAATATAAAATCAATGAATTATGTGCATATACATTTCATAACAGAAGATAAACAGACATCAATTAAGCACGTAAAAAGATGCTCAGTCATTAAATAAATGAAAATTTTGAATAATGAGATACTACTCCTCTTAGAATGTCTAAAATTTTAAAAAGACAAAGTATGCCAAGCGTGGGTAAACATGTAAAAATGTGTTAACTCTCATACACTACTGGTGAAAATACAAAATGCCAAAAACTCTCAGGAAAATAGTTGGGCGTTTGTGTAAAAAATTAAGTGGATATATACTATGTGACCTGTCATTCCACTCTTAGGTATTTACCTAAAAGAAATGAATACATATGTACATATAAAGATTTCTACATAAATGTTCATAGCAGCTTTATTTATAACAGTCAAAAACAAGTGAATGCATAAAAAATTTTAGTACATCTGTACAATGCAATATAAAGGCATAAACTATTCATGCATGAAAAATGAATGGATATCAAAATAACAAACTTATTTTATTATATACAATTTGAGAAAAAAAATATAGTAACACAAAGATAATCACTGGTTGCCTGGAAATGGGGTGAGATTGGAGAGGAGGACAAGAAAAGGAGAAACGAAGATTACAAGAGGACGTGAGGACATTTTGAGACTAGTAATGGATATATATATATAAATATACATATATATGCATCTTAACTTTGATGAAGTGTCTATACATATCATTGGTCTATTTTATATTAGGTAGTTACATATATCTTACGTATATTTATTTGTATATGTATATGAATATATAATCTTGATTGTGTTGAGAATTTCAACAACTTAGCAAGTTGTGTGCTTTAAGTGTGTGCTTTTTATTTTTTATCAGACATATAGTTCTACCTACATTTAGGCTAGTTAAATACTCTTTTCATAATTTTCAAAATGGTTTCTACGTGATATATTTTTAGTGGATATTTTGTCTTTATTTGTGGGCTCAATTATCCTTTGGTTAAGAAAAAAACTCCATGTGATAAACTCAAAAAATACATTATTCTTGCAGGAATTTTATTAGTGGTTTTGTTCCTCAGTAGTTTACCTTCAGAAACCTGGTAAATCCTTGGAGTTTTCTTCCTCTCTCTAGAGCAGGGATTGTCAAAATTTTTCTACAAAGGGAAAGATTTGTATAAAGGTAAATATTTTAGGCTTTTCAGGTAGTGTAAGATCTTGATTCCTTTTCTTTTCTTCTGCTTCCTCTTCTCTTCCACATTTCTCTCTTCCTTCACAATCCTTTAAAAATATACAGACCATTCTTAGTTTCTTGGTGATCCAAAAGTAGGCCACAAGCTAGATTTGCCTTCCAGGGCATAGAGTTCTCACCCCTGTCCTTTAGGATCATGGCTCACACACTGACACGTTTGGTGGAACCGTTTTTCCTGCTGCCACTCCCTGCTTACTTCATGTCACCACATGATGGTTCTCTGGGGTCATGGCTTGAGCATTTTCTACCACTACCTTTTCTCCTGCACAGCAGCTGTCCCTAGATGACTGGTGAGCTCTGCTCATCCCTTTGTTCTCTGCTGTATTCCTTGGTTCTCACATTGCTATAAAGAAATGCCTGAGATTGGGTAATTTACAAAGAAAAGAGGTTTGACTGATTCACAGTTCTGCAGACTATACAGGAAGTATGGCAGCATCTGCTTCTGGGGAGGCCTCAAGGAGCTTTTATTCATAGTGGAAAGCAAACTGGGAGCAGGAGTCTTACATGTCAGGAGCAGGAGTAAGAAAAAGAGTGAAGAGGTGCCACACACTTTTAAACAACCAGACCTCATGAGAACTCACTCACTATAGAGTACCAAGGGGGGATGGTGCTGAACCATTCATGAAAACTCCACCCTCATGAACTAATCACCTCTCTCCAGATCTTTCTTCCAACATTGGGGATTACAGTTTTACATGAGATTTGGGTGGGAACACAGATTCAAACCATATTATCTGCCCAGTCAGTTCTTTTCACAGTTCTGCTAGAAACTCAGCAATGTGTAAACAGAACTGACTCTTAATTATGAACTAGTCTCTTAATTCTGAACTAGTCAAATCTTTAATGAAGCCCCTATTAAATGTTACATGAACAAGAGTTGCCTACCTTTGCAAACTCAAATACTGTATTATACTGTATTTGCTTTCTAGTTGCCACTTAACTATACATTTCTAGATGTTTTCCAGACCTTGTGCTAAATCTGATTCTGTAGCTGTTATTGTCATGCAATTGTCACACCCCACTTGGCATTTTACTTACCCCATACTTATCTTAGAGTTTGCCATTTATGACACTAAGTTCATGTTTCATCTGAAGGTAGGAAAATCACTGTCTTCAGTTTTACACTTTTTTAATGTGAATTGACATAATAGAAGTACTTAGATGCTAAAAGTTTATTAACTTCTTTTTTTCAGTTTATCTAGATCCCCTTATCTCTCCAAGCAGGAGAGATAAAAGGTAAAAGGATGAAAACAATTCATGTAACAATCAATATAATTGGAGCTACCATTCCCTAAGACCCTCATATGCTATTGCTGAAATTTGAATATTATCCAAAAAACTTCCCCCTTGATGTTCTGAGGTCTTCATTTGCTACTTGTTTCTTTTATTTTGGACCTCTTTCTCCTTTCCTTCCTACACACATATAATGTAGCAGGTATGCCATATGAAGCTGAGCCCCTGTTACTGAAGGCAGTGGATGTTTTACCTGGAGTCTCCACATGTTCTTGAAAATAGCAGATACAACAAATCTTGGATTGAGCAAAGAATACACATTTTACATAGCACATCACAATATCAGGATAACTTTTGTTACATTTATCATTCTACATAAATAAAAAAGATTAAAAAGTGTTTATATTGCAGGCATACGTGTCCTCAATATTAAAGCATAAAACCCTAATGGTCATGCACATATCTTTCTGTTGCTATGCTACCCTAGGCCAAAGTTTGTTTGAATTTTCTTACATTATAATTCTTCAATCCCAAATACAGTGAATCACCTGGATATAAAAGGATATCATTGGGGCTATTTAAGTACAATACATTATCGATCACTTCAGTGCTAGTTCACTTACTTTCTCTTTAAAATAACTGCAGGAACATCGCAAATGCCACATTTAATTTGACTATAATTTTTATTTCTGTGGTGAAGACCTGTCTTCTATAGTGAGTATCTGTCAAAATTTAAGCTGGGTGTACGTTTCAAAGAATCCCTTTAGCATAAGGTCATGGAGGCAAACACCAATTACATGAAAACTGAACATGTTCATGTATAATAAATACTACTGCATAAAAAAGTACATGAAATTCTAAAAATATATCTAGGTTTTATTTAAAGGCGTTACCAATTTTCAGTGTAAAAGTGTCTGAACCGTATGTAAACATTATTACTCTTGATTAGAGATATGCTGATGAAATATTAGAAGAAAGAACAAACAGGCTAAAATGAAACTATGCTGTTAGTGAAACAAATTACTGAAGAAAGTAAGAAATTTGAAAATTTAAAAAAATGCTACAGAGACTAATAGTTAGATTTACATGCTTTTCTTATACCCACACATTCCTCCAATTCTATTAAATTTGAAAAATTGTTGTCAGATAACAGACAGGACATTCAAATATAGGCACAATATACCTATAATCTCTGACACTCATATTTATTTGTAATCAACTTCATATTTGGTACTTTTTCAGGAGTTTTATCATTAGACTCATATGTTTTTACATGTCAAATAGAGGTTTTGATTGTGCTTCAATGAAACTTACAGCTGTAAATAAAATAGAACACAAATATTCATGGCTGTATTGCTACATATGTGCTATAGATTGTGTTTTTCTGTGTGTGATGTATATAAGTATATTCACACATATACATACACTATATATATATATATATATATATAAAAATATCCACGTTCTTTTTAGTATTCTCATATGAGTATAAATAGAAGTGAAGGTCACTTTTAATGTTTTCAGGTGGGAAAAATACATTCAAAATAGTTTTGAGTTGTCAATCTGCAATAATAGTTAGAAACTGAGAATGTAAAATGTATTACAATAAGAATTTTAAAATAGTGCTATCAAATTTTATGATTTGTTTGGAAGTTTTAGTGTTGTCATGTATTATACACATGGAAATTTAAATAGATTGGGAGCATTGAACTGGTTTTTGGCTTCTTGGTATAGTTTTTGAAAAAACAAACAAACAAACTTTTTTCAAAGTCATAAGTTGTGTTTAGTGCCGATAGTGATGCTAATTAGAGTAGAAAAGTAGAAACTTCAGTTTTGAAACTAAGATCTAAAGCTATCTGAGAATCTAATGGTTCAACAGAAAACTTTGTACTTTTGAAATTAATTACATTATCAGACTTTGTTAAAAGTAGAAAAAGAGTGAAGCATTAGTTCAAGAGGCAAAATAAAGCAACAAAAGACAACTTTGTATTATAGCTGGTGTGCTAATGATGATGATGATGATGATTATTTTTTTTTGGGGGGGGGTTGGAGGCTCTTTGGGTCACTCAGGCTGGAGTGCAGTGGCACAATCTCGGCTCATTGCACGCTCCACCTCCTGGGTTCACGCCATTCTCCTGCCTCACCCTCCGAGTAGCTGGGACTACAGGCGCCTGCCACCACGCCTGGCTAATTTTTTGTATTTTTAGTAGAGATGGGGTTTCACCGTGTTAGCCAGGATGGTCTCGATCTCCTGACTTCATGATCCACCCGCCTCGGCCTCCCAAAATGCTGGGGTCACAGGCGTGAGCCACCATGCCCAGCCCTGATGATTATTTTTATTAATAAATGTTTCAAGTACTGAATGCTATATATGTAGCATTCATTGAAACTCAACTTCTTGGCATTCTCATAAATATGTGTCTGATGTTTCTTTAGACGATAGTATAAAGATACCTAGATTTTGGTACTATGAGGGCTAAGTAGAAGATAACAGTTAAAAATTCCTTTATTGTTTTAGTGGTTTTCAAGACAGAAGAAGCCAAAATAAATTAATTGTTTTGTAGATGTACTTCTTATATTGTAATCGATTTTAACTTAGTTTTAGAGGGGATATAAAATTGGAGATATTAAATTACACACAGACTGTTACTCAATCTTTCATATTAGATTTACAAATCAATCTGGAATGTGCTGACAGCATAAACTGCTACAGAAAAAGTTCTGTGTTCTCCTTGGGGCATGCATTTTTGTTTCTATGCAGTTATGCTATTTTCTGTTGAGGAAAAGGAATCCAATGATTCCTCTTTATATTTGCCCTGAATAAATATCCAAACTACTAAAAAAACCAAGTGACATGGATGAACCTATGTAATCGAGGTTTCCTGTTTTTATTAATATAACTTACAAAAATAATAATATGTATATGTTTATACTGGTACTCAGAGTTATCATTGTGCTGTGTGATCAGAAAGATTTAGGGGTGAATTCCTACTTATCTAAATACTCTTAGGGGAGGATTTGAGTGCTGAGAAGAATCAGGAGTAAGTTATAAGTATTTATTTTTAAACAAGTTATATAAATATTTGCAAGCATTTTTCCGGTTCCTTTGATAGTGACTTGCAGTTCCTTCAGTGGATATATCCTCACCTGGAGTTGACAAGTTCTGCTCACTGACTGGCTAGGACAGATGTGTTCCTAGTTTCTACAGACAAATTTGCATTTTCTGTTAACATGTTCACCAAAGAAAGAAGTCAACTGGAAATGTTAAGTTCTATGTTGTTCTACTTCAAGAAATGAATAGTAAGAACAAATAATAATTTGCTTAAGTTAAATTGATGTACCACACTGGTAGTAATGATCAACAGGTTACTAATCCCTCACTTCTGATATTTAATTGATTTACTTTGTTGGAATTTTAATGGTAATCATGACAAATTTAATAAAACATACTAGAAATGCAATGACATAGACAAACATACAAGGATTTATATCTGTTGAAGTGTATGGTACTCAATGTTCCAGATCTTGTGTGAAAAAGTGCCACAGTGAAACAGCCAAAGAACTAACATAGATAACTCAATTTTTGTTTAAGGGGCCTCCTACAAGTAGACTAGGATAATTTTAGAGCACTGAGATAATTTGCAAAAACAATCATGTAGTTTCTGAAACCAACTCTGTGAATAAAAGAGAAGTATGTAAACACCTGACTACTTTTTGTTAAAAACTTATAGAAGCATTGTGACCTGACCAAGGGCAAAGAAATTCCAAACCTCCTTGGACCCTTGCTGGCATCCAGATGTCTGCGGTCATCAGTAACCTCTTGATCCCAACCTCCTCATCTTCCGCCGTCCTCAACATAAAAAGAGCCTGAAATCTGTGCTGACTTAAGATGGTTCTTTAGGACATTAGTCTACCATGTTATTGGTTTGCTGGCTATCCAAAATAAAGTTGCCTTCCTTGCTCTAACTCCTTGTCTCTCAATTTATTGGCTGTTGTGTGGCAAGCAGAATGAGTGGTTGCACAAGCTCAAGACACCTATTTTGTTCTCTTGGATCACACTGTTGATACATTTCTGATTCCTATAAGTTTTTTAATGTTTTGATTCCCTCCCCCAGCACAAGGCATCAGCTGATTTCATTTGTCAGTTCTTACACCTAGGCTTGATCTCTAAGTGTTAGTGTACTCTAAGTCTCAGTCCTAAACTTTCTTTCTCTTCTTCTCCATTTTTACTGTCTTCATAGATTATCTCCTCTAGTGACTTTGTTTAAATATAGCCTTTATGCTGATGACTCTCAAATTAACACGCAGCTATCATCACTCCTATCAAACTCCAACTGCCTACTAGGATGTTTAAAAAACATCTTAAATTTTACTGACCAAAATAAAATCTTGATATTTATTCTTAACATCAAACATGTTTTTCTTGCAGTCTTCCATTTCTTGGTAAAATCATCACTATGCTTGCTCTTTGAAGTTATGTAAATATAATCTATCATTTTACCTCATTTTTATGACATCAATAACCTAAATTACATCTAGGCTTTCATCCATGCGCATTGTCAAATAAAAACAAATAGGGACTTAGGAAAGGAGAGAATTTATTCAAAAGGATTATTGCATGATGGGGGAAAGGAGAGAGGACTATTTCTTTTTTTTTTTTTTTTTTTTTTGAGACGTAGTCTCGCTCTGTCGCCCAGGATGGAGTGCAGTGGTGCGATCTCAGCTCACTGCAAGCTCCCCTTCCCAGGTTCACGCCATTCTCCTGCCTCAGCCTCCCGAGTAGCTGGGACTACAGGCACCCGCTACCGCGCCCGGCTAATTTTTTGTATTTTTAGTAGAGACGGGGTTTCACTGTGGTCTCGATCTCCTGACCTCGTGATCCGCCCGCCTCGGCCTCCCAAAGTGCTGGGATTACAGGCGTGAGCCGCCGCGCCCTGCCTAGGGGAGAGGACTATTTCAAATAGGAAGTTCACTCTGATTATGAGCTCTGCAAGCATCTGAAGTGTTAGGCAAAAGAGGTTTCTCTTTTATGGGGAGGAGTAAACAAGGCTAGGAAGAATAGTGTGTGGAGAAGTAGGAGGAAAGAGTGGCATAAGAGTGGGATAGTAAGTCAGAGAATGTTTTATTCTGAAGCCAGCCAATTTTCAGGAAGGGTTGCATGTTGTATGTTGGCTCAGGCTGAAGGTGGGTCAAGGTTTAAAGGTCCAGGGAAGGAAAACAAAAACAAAAAACAAAGTTTGGTTAGCAAGTATTTTGAACTGATAGATCAGTAAGGACAAGCGATTTAGTTAATTATTTAAGGGGCAAGGAAAGGGAATTTAGAGGGCATGTGTCTGGCCTTTTCACAGGTAAATAAGGGTACTTCCTGTGAGTCTTATCAAAGTCTTAAGGGAAAGGGCATTTCATTGTAATAAGCCATTACCCAGAACACTAAAAGGTGGGAGAATTTCTTAAACATTTCTGTTTTGTAGGAACAGAGGACTCAGCTAAAATTCAACATGTGGCTATTGTCCTACATCTATTCTTCGTTGATTGAACAGAATTATCTTTTACAGATTATTTATGTCATGATTAAAAGCTTTTCATTTTTTAAAGATTTCATTTACAATGAAATCCTGATTTCTTCCCATTATGTTTCAGACCTTCTCTGATTAGGAATCTATTTCTCTGAATTCATTTTAGAATTGAACTCTCATGTTCATTATGCTGTAAGTCCCTGGTCTTGTATGTTCCTCAAAATATCTAGGTTATTTTCCAGTATTGGAACATTAGTGCTGCAAAAGCAGGGATCTATCCTCAGATAAGAAATTTGCCTGACACAGAAACAACAATATTTAAGTAAATTTCTCAGCTTCTACTTTTCTTGATGCATTTTGACAGATACTCAATTTTGAATTTGGTTCACTCACCGGTTTTAGAAGAATAACAAAGCCAGTTTTATTGTGGGAATTATGTGACTTCTATACCCTAGACTTATTATTCCTATGAGTATCTTTAATTTTCTATTACTTTAAAAATGAATTACAAATTATATTATTCTATGCATGATCATAATAAAGCCCCTAATTTTTATGTTGTGTCTATTAAGGATTTTTTGCCTGTTAATAATTCCAAAAGGCATATTTGCACTGCCCTCTGTCTATGCTGTCTCCCGCTCATGTTGTGGCAATGTTCACAGTACAACAGTTTTCATCAGAGATTATCCTTCTTTTCACTTTCAAGGGTCGAAACAAAATATGTCATTTCCAGTCTGCAGTGTTTTGACTGAATTCCGAATGATACCAGAAAAAGGAAGATTTCTCTTTTCTCAGCTTCCTAAAAATGTCGGAATCTTAAATAGTCAAAAGCAATTCTGCCATAAACAAGTCTGCTGACTTTTGAATGGATGTACAATGTGGATATAATAATTAATGTTGGAAAAACAATTCTTTCTTTCTGGTACATAACTCCATGTAATAGTGTAATTCAAAGTGCCTTTTCATTTAAAACTTCTGGATTATTGATGGTACATAAACATGGAATAAGAGAAGAAATATTGCATGCCAAAATTTTCTGGGACTGTATATAAAGCACTATCTACCTAAAGGTTGGTATCTTAAGAGCATAACTAAGAGTAAAACATTTAGGACCCCAAAACGTTTGTCATACTCAGGTTTGATTTGACCCAACGTTGATGAAAGAGACCCAATCCAGTGAATGAATTTCAGCTGTAAGAGAATATAAAGTGAGGACAGATATCATGGCTCACATTTGTAATCCCAGCAATTTAGGAGGCCAAGGTGGGAGGATCACTTGAGAACAGGAGTTCAAGACCAGTCAGGGCAACATGGCAAAGCCCATTTCTACAAAGACTATAAAAATTAGGTGGTTCAGGTGGCCTGTGCCTATGGTCCCAGATAATTGAGAGGCTGAGGTGGGAGGATCGCTCAAGCCTAGAGGTGCAGGCTGCAGTGAGCCATGATTGCACCATTGCACTCCAGCCTGTAAGACAGAGCAAGATCTTACTTTAAAAAAAAAAAAAAAAAGAATGTAAAGTGGACAATGTTCAAATGAGAAAAGAAAGGATATCATGGCAATAAGCTAGGCCTCTTGAGCAGAATGCTAGCTGGCACTTACGTGTGTGGAGAAGACCATCCAGTATTCAAAGTTGAGGGTGGGAAGAATAGTTTGGATACCAGAGGTACAGCCAAGTGGTCAACATTTCAGCCATCAAGACAGTGGATAATTGTGGATCTAAACAGGAATCTTGATCAAACTCGCAGAGATTGAAGGAAAGGAGCACGAATTTCACAAAACAATTCTAGAAAGTGGCAAGTTGCAGCCTCTAGATAGATTTCTTACCTCGTCAGGGCTAGTGTAGAAACCAAGTGAGATTAATGTCACATTAAAGGGACCTAATGCCTGCAGCCAATTGAGGCTATAAAAATCTTTCTTGGTTCAATGGTCACATAACTCTGGAAAGCAACTTTATCAAGCTTGAGCAAATTGTAATTCTTAATTTATATTTTCATTCACATTTAATGCTGCAATTAAAGTTTATATAAATAAATTCTATATATGTGTACATGAGATTCCTGCTTGTGACCATTAATACATTTCTTTATATTTGTTATTTATTTAATCATTTTGCATAATTTTTCACCATGATAATGGTGAAATTCACCTCCAGTTTTCATGTTTATTTCCATTATGTCTTGTTAAGAATAAAGTTGAGTTTGTAATTACTGATTGCAAATTTTATCCTATGATCTGAACTCCGCCTGTGGACATGTTTCCTTCAGCTAGTAAAGTATTGACAGTTTTAAGAGAATGTCCTTAGGCAGGTCATGCACTCTCCAGTTTTCCAGGGTCCCCAACCATTCCCTTTTGTGTTAAATCAGCTTCTTCGTACATTTATAAAGCCTGCCTAACCTCAAACGTTATTCAAATTTTAAACTTTGCCTTTATAAACATGAATTGGTATGAAAGTTATGCACTACAAAGAAAAATGATTGTTGTGAGTATTTACTTCAGAAAATCAATTTTATGTAGCACTAAATGAAACATCTGACAAATTGCATGTCTTAAATAAAGTTGCAGTTAGTTTTTGAATTAAGTGGGAAGAAATTCTATACCTAAACAAAACTTGGTTAGATAAACGTTTGTCTCTACTCTATAGCCACATTGGCTAATTTTTCTTTCCGTTTGCTTTTGTGTGATCCAAGTAACTCATATTCATTTAGTAAATTTTGAAAGTATAGAATAAAATGGAGATGTAGAAAAAGTCACCCTTAATAACATCATATAGAAGTAACACTAAAATCATTGCCTATTTCTTTTGCATACTTTATATACAACTTTTAAAATTGAGTTTATAAAACACTATATATATACATATATACTTATATATTTCATTGAAAATTGACATTTTTCAAAATATGAAAGGGTAATTGTGAATAATTGTACATAATTACATTATTGAATATTTAAAACAGCTGTTTATTCCATATAGAATACCTTAACTTATAATTCAAAGTAATTTAAGACATTATATTATTTATATGTAATGTATTATCTACACAGTGAGAGAGAGAAATAAATATATGATCATATAAATAATATTCATATATGAATTGCTATCTCAAGTAATTACCTAGAGTAGATGGATTTTAGTAGATAAGTCCAGTGACTATATTAGAAAATTATTTTTGCTTATTTATCTTTCTTTTTAAATTATGGCATCATGAGGACAGTTTAAAATTTAACTATTTAAGTTCAATAATTTAACATTCTATGACATTGATCACATGATGGCACAAAGATTTAAGTTCAAAGGAATAAGGGTAGAGCTGGAACCAGACGTCAGTTCACTTTTGAACTATATTTTTCACTACCAAAAACTTTATGTGTTTTATATTACATATTTAAAAATAGGTTTATTTTACTAGAAAATGTTTGACATTTAAATTCTGAGGGTTTACGATATCAACAATAAAAGAAGGTTTGTGTAACCATGCAGTATACCATATCTTTCGTTGGCAGCTATCTGGATTGCAGGCAGAAACTCCTACAGAGATCTTGTCAAGACAACTATAATCTATTAATAATGATAAAACCATAAATAATTTCCTGGTCTGGAATAGTGGTCTCTAACATAGGGTAATGCTTTGATGGGGCACACAAAGAGACAATAGAACTGTTGCTTATACTTAATTTCCCCATAAGAATAAGAGAGGAATTAGGTTTCACTAACATTTCATTCACAGATAGAAATGTGCCCTATATATAGCTCATTGTCAGATGACCATGTCTGTACAGTGGCTTTTGCTTCTGGTGACCCAGCTGTGAACATAGCACAATTATGATTGTCCGTGGTTTACCTCTCTCGTTTGTTTTCATCAGCATTTGACATGTCACAGTTTCTTTGTGCCAAAGTTCGTGGATTTATCAATTATTTTGTCTTAGTTACTTGTCTTTTACAAATTAGACAAGTAGATTAAATATTTCTGAACATGAACTGTGAATTGAAAAATGAAACTAGTAATGAAACTATGCAACCAAACACAATGACAGAACTATCATTTTTAATTGTCTTCAATAACCGGAATATCAAAAAAAGATCAATCTGTTCACATGTATAAAGAAGTCGGTCAAAGATTTTAATATTATATAGAATCTATATTTATATTTTGTTACAAATCAACCTCATTTTGAGACATATTTTCCCTGAGAAGTTTGTAAATTATACTGGCACATTCATTTAAAATATACTCATACAAATGTTGGTAACATGTGCTTACAATTCTGATTTATGAACATTCATTTTGTGTTTCCTATCTATATAATGTCTGGAACTCCCTTTCTTGTGCTTCTGAATCTCCAGTGCCTGAAACAGTGTCTGGAATGTAATAGAAACTCAGTGAATATTTATTAAAGAAATGAATAAGTGTTATACATAAGAACAAAAATTATGAGTATTTTCCCTAACAATATAAATCTTAAAGAGAAATGAGCATATATATACATAAAATCATCACTGCACCGTCAATGTGAGATGCATATTCTACTAATGTTATGTAAAACTGACAAAATTAGCCTCACAGCTTGGAGAATTATATCTAGACATAATTAACCAGACATGCCATTTGAATGTATCCAATCTAACTACACTTGGATTTCTATCCTGGTAGAATACTTCTAGATTCCATAACTTAATTGTTGTGAAGCCAGGCCATTAGAGGAGCTGGAAAAGAGGAACATAGCCGTAGAATTAGAATGACACACGATTAGAGAAGATGAGATGATAAAAGCTTCCTCTTAGGGGAGATGGAATGAGAAGATTTGGCCACAGTGTGGGGAAATGTTAAAACCAGTAGACCCCGTCTCTACTAAAAATACAAAAAAATTAACCTGGCGTGGTGGCGGGGCACCTGTATTCCCCAGCTACTCGGGAGGCTGAGGCAGGAGAATGGCTGAACCCGGGAGGCGGAGCTTGCAGTGAGCGGAGATCGCGCCACTGCACTCCAGCCTGGGTGACAGAGCGAGACTCCGTCTCAAAAAAAAAACAAACAAACAAAAAACAAGTAGAGCAGGTTTGATTTGATCCCTTGAGGAAAGAAGGGGACCTCGAGTGCCCACTCCGGCCAAACATTGTTCTAGACACTCAGTACCCTCTGCATATGAGAGCCACATTTTCCTTGATCAGTAAGAACAAGAGAGAAATTCTGCTCCTGAGACTGATTTAATTATTTAAATTCCTTTTACTTCTCTCTAATTTTCCAAAAGCAATTTTCCACCTCTACTTTTATTTCTAGTTCCTATTTTTCCTGTAATGCTAACAGAAACTTTCTTTATAGAAAACTTGTTGATTATACCCACTGACCTTTTCCTTTTATTGTTTTCAACGGCAGTATAATATATTATGTTCATTTGTTTCTAAAAAAAAAGCATGTCTTGGTATTAAAAGCATATCATATTCATTTGTAACATACAAAATGAGAGCCTGTTTCATTTCTTAGGAATTTTAGTTGTAGCTTCACATTTATAAGCCAAATTCAATTTTTACTTTATAAAGGCACTCAAATTTCAAAGAGCTTAGCAAATCAAGAATAACATTAGGATACCACACACTGCATTCCTATAGAAAAATCTAATGCCTGGAGCCAGTTTTTCTCTCCTTGAAAAACACTGATTAAAGTTGACAAATTTTTAGTTCCAAAGAATAAAGTAAAATGTCGTTTGGTATATGTCAACCAATTAAAAGTGAACTGTAAGCTCATTTATTCATAAACAATACAGTTTTGTCATCCTAGCTCCTAATGTCATATTGGCAGATAAAAGAAGCATGGTTGGCCTGGCACAGTGGCTCACACCTGTAATCCCAGCACTTTGGGAGGCATAGGAGGGCAGATCACAAGATCAGGATTCCGAGACCAGCCTGGCCAATATGGTGAAACACTGTCTCTACTAAAAACACACACACACACACAAAATTAGCTGGGCGTGGTGGCGAGTGCCTGTAGTCTCAGGTACTCGGGAGGTTGAGGCAGGAGAACAGCTTGAACCCAGGAGGCGGAGGTTGCAGTGAGCTGAGATAGCACCACTGCACTCTAGCCTGGGCGACACCGCCAGACTCTGTCTCAAAAAAAAAAAAAAAAAAAAAAAGAGAGAGAAGCATGGTTTCTGTACTGAATCTGTCAGGAGAGGAGTGGTAGATGATAAATAAGCAGGTATAGTACATTATTATTTACAAATGAGGTATCAAGACTTTTCTCAGGTGAGGACAATTGTTTTCCTCTTTTAAGAATTGAGCTCACATCAATCCACTTCAACAAATATGAGTGCCTTGATATATATGAAGCTCCAGGAAAGACATGAAGATATAAAGAAAAAAACTGATGAACACTGACCCTAAGGAGGTTCCTGAACAGTGCACACCTATTTAAAACAGTTATCTGAGCTCTGCGATTTGCCATAAAATGTTAAAGTTAGCTTTTAACTTACCGTGCATTCTAATAAGAACCAAATTTTTATCTTTTTAAGGTAAGTTACCCAGATAAAAAAAGATTTTCTTTTCAAATAGAAGGAATTGTATTTAGAATTGACTTTTGTAGAAAAGTGTTTTCTCATGTTGCTAACAAGGAAATAAAATTACTATAAATTCAATAATTCTTAAAATAAATGTGTGTTTATTTTTCAGAGGATAATTGCTATATACTTGAGGTATATCTATCTATAAGACACATTTAGTTACACTATGACACTGTCATGCATGTCTGGTTATAATGGCACATTGTTTAGAAAGCCTGTTGCCTAAACTAGAAGACATCACCATGTATGAATTATCTAGCGGTGTTGGAAAAATTCAGAGTTAAATTTGTATAAAGCTTTAAATCTGCAAAAGATATGTGTGTATGCATAATATATACTTGCATTTACATATGAGATATGCATATATATGTGTGTGTGTATATATTTATATATATTTGTGTGTGTATATATATATAGTTTTATTTTATGTAAAGATAGATTCTTGCTTTCTCACCCAGGCTGGAGTGCAGTGATGTCCTCCTAGCTCACTGTAGTCTTGAACTCCTGGACTCAAGCGATCCTCTCACTTCAGCCTCCTGAGAAGCTGTGCCTACAGGAATGCCTCACCATGTCCAGTAATATTTTTATTTTTTATAGAGACAGAGTCTCACTATGTTGCCCAGGCTGGTCTCAAAATCATGGCCTCAAGTGATCGTGTCCCACCTTAGCCTTCACAGTTGTTGGGATTACAGGTGTGAGCCACTGTACTAGGTCTTACATTTCTATTTTATATGAGACTGTATATGTGAAAATAATTTTAATTTTAAAATTTAATTTTAACACTGTGACACCAATAAAATGGATATCATTTTACTGATGTAGAAATCAAGACTTAGAATGTTTTGGAAACTTCCAAATATCCCATGCCTGTGAGAGGCAGTGCAGACTGACTCCGATGTTATTTGTTAACCATTATTTAAATTATTAAGTTATTACTTTCTTATGCTGAATTTATACCCATATATCTTGAAAAAGTCTTTAAACATCAATTATTTGTATTTCTAAGTAATGTTTTAATATTCGTGTTCATAATGGTGAATTCACATTTATTGGCTTCATTGTATTTGAGGATTGAGGAGGGTGGCCCCTAGTTTTTGAATTGAGCAAAAGAAGAAACTAACACATCAATCTTTGCATATATGTACTTTGCATTTTATGACGACAGAAGAAACCATAACTGGGCATTAAGAGGTGTTCTATGCTTTCTCAACCTACCTTCAAGCCATGAGATTCTGTATACTGACTTGATACTGTGAATTATGCTGGTAATATTGAAATGGCAAATTTTAAATTTTAGTTTGGGGAGTTTAGTTGTCATTGGCTTAAAACAGATATTGTTCCTGAACCATAGTGTATTTTTTTAACAGAGACTCTAGGCACTTCTGGACTGAATGGAAGATATATGGATAATCACTGTGAATTTAGTGTACTTCCATTCATCCTGAATTTCAAATGAACCTTTAACCACTTAGTATGTTGTGTTGTCATCTCTTCAACTTTGCAATAACCCTTAAGTTGTGAGTTTATTCTTTAATACATTTAACAGATTGTAAAATGAAAAGATTATCTGGAACACTTAGACAGCATCCAGCAGCCTGAGAGAAAACAATGCCGTCCTGCCAGAAAAAAATAGAAATAGCAAGTGGATTTCCTCAGGAACGTATTTCTAAAAGTCCGATTGATTTCATGTTTGAGTACTCCTACTTGCCAGGGGCTGAGAAGAGCCTAGAAAGGACTCACTCAGAGGAATTAATGGTAAAACCAACAGAATGAAATACTAGAGAAAAATCCCAATTTAATAGTTTGGAAAATTGCAGTTATTTTTGTAAAATGTATTTGTAATTAAAAAACCTAATAGGTTAAAAACAAAACAGAACAACACGTGTTCCTCTGTAGGCATGCTGCTTATACGTTGTTTGTTTGAATGTTTGGAGTAAAATATTGGAAATAAACCTTGCTTTTGTTTCCAGAAGAAAATCTGCAGGTAGAGGAAAATGGTATTCTTTTGTGGAGTATTCGTGAATCTAAGTCAGACCTTGTTTTTCGCTCCAATGTTAATTCCATCTGCTCACAATACTGTCGTCTCCCCATTCACAGTGCTCTGTTTTCCAGCAGGAAAGCCTTCTCTGATACAACACCATAAATTCCTTCCTGATCTGGAAGGCCCACTCCAGAAGCACACGCTCTATGAGGATATTTCTGGAGTACCACATTAAGGATAATGACTTTATCACTATGGGAGAGCTTCTTTTTATGTGAATAATTCTCACTTTATCAAGGTGAAATCGTTTAATTTAAAAATGCACACCTATTTTTCCAGTTCCAAAGGATATCACTGCTTCTTCATTATAACACTAAAGAGAATCAAATGAATATATTAACAGTTAAATGCGATGAAATAAAAGATCACCCCTGGCTAGGGAATACTATTTGGGCATGTTGTTTTGGCTATTTTTAATTAGAATTTTGTTATAACTAATATTCACTGATTTATTTTCTTGTGCCCGTTCCTGAAAAATATTTTCACACAACACCCATCTGATAAGCTCATTATGAAAATGAATAAATGGAGGCTAAGCCAAAATCCTTTTCTCGTAGGGTGGTTAGTCTCATAATCCCAAATCGACAGTGATGTTGAGCAACTAGAACTCTCATAAATTGCTGATGGGTGTATAAAATGGCATAATCACTTGTAAAATAGTTTAGTTTTATCTACTACGTCAGAATATATTCATACCTTCTGAGCCGGAAATACTATACCTAGAGATAAACTCAAGTGATATGAATTCACACATCCAACAAGGGACATATGTTTACTATTAAAATTAGTGCTATGAGAAGATAAGCTGAACAGGCTCTGTGTTCCAGTCTGGCTTCAGCTTTTTTGAACATTTACTTTTAAGATCCCTTTCTGAGAGTGTCAGTGAATAAAATCACAGTGATACCTCAAAACTGTGGGCTCAATGTGGTTGGAGCATTTAGCATGGGGCTTATATATTTATTTAAGGAATGAAAGTTTGCAAGTACTGGAAACCATAAATCAGATCAAGATCTTTAAAAGACAAGCAAGCAGAGTGTGTGATCTAATATCTTTTCCAAAGTTATGTGATAAAGCATCTGTCTGAGCTTGCATGAGATTAACTAATATTGTTTAGGAGAAATGTCTTGAATAATCAGTGATCAAATTTTTTGCTTTAATAAAATTATTTACTAAAACTAACTTTCTGTAGTCCAGTGTAATGGAGTCCACCCTCACATTAAGTTTCACTATGAAAACTAATTTTTGAGAATGTAATTTTTTGGAAAATGACTTAACACTGTGGGTAACATAACCAAAATTTTATTTCAATGAGGCTTTGATAATTCATTCAATGTATACTTTGTTTTACCTGGCTATTTATTGAGGTGCAACAAAAAATGGAAATGTACTCAATCTTTCCCTCTCTTTTCCTTCCTAAGAGCCCATGTATGCTGAAAATGTATTATTTATAAAATTTATGACAGTGTCTCTTGATGCACAGGTGAGATACATACTTGAAGTACTTCCTCTATTTAAGAGAAGTACTTAAATAAATGTGCACAGTATATCCTTTGATCTGATAAACCCAATATGAGTAATATTTCATGACTTTAGATGAGAAAGCTAAGATACAGTCCCCCTCTCTTCCTCTGGAGAGTGTTTTATGTTACTTTTAAAGCCTAGAAACATTGTATTCATTTTGCCTCCAAGATTTGAGGACAAATATGACTGGCGAGGAAGATAGAACCAAGATAGTCATGCACACATGTGCATACACATACACACATATACACATACCTCAGGTATAGAGTCCTTACGATGTGAATCAATTGACATTTTCAATAATGTGGGGAAATAATTTCCTTGTATATTTTACTAGTTTGATTTCACTTGTAAAAATTATTTTTCAACCAAAAAGATATAACTGATAACATTTTGATTACCAATAATGGGGTTTCACAAGTAACTGACTCTAAAATATTGAATTTCCTGAATTCTGTTAGAATATAACAGGTGAGGAATGTAGAATATTTATTTAGTTACTAACAAATAGTTAAATGATTTCTGTTTTTCCTGTGGACATTAGATCATGTGCCTACCAATGCTCCAACATTAGGGGAAATGAGTCAAAAAGTTAGAATGCTGGAATCTCTACAATTAAAGAGAAAAGCTTGTGTAGTCTAGCAAAGATAGAAATAAAAGGCATCCAAACTGGAAAAGAACAAGTCAAAGTATACCTGTTTGCTAATGATATGATCCTATATCTAGAAAAACCTAGACTCCACCAAAAAATTCTTAGAGTTGATAAATCAATTCAGTAAAGCTTCAGGATGCAAAATCAACATACAAAAATCAGTAGCCTTTTAGTACACCAATAATGATCTAGCTGAGAGAGAAATCAAGAAGGCAATCTCATTTACAATAGCTAACAATAAAATAAAATAAAATAAAATAAAATAAAATAAAATAAAATAAAATAAATAGCTACGAATACATTTAATCAAGGAGGTGAAAGATCTCTACAAGGAAAACCACAAAACACTGATGAAACAAATTGAAGATAATACAAACCAAAGGAAAAATATTCCATGCTCATGGATTTGAAGAATTAAGATAGTTGAAATGACTATACTGCCCAAATCAATCTACAGATTCAATGTAATCTCTATCAAAATAATTACATCATTTTTCACAGATTTAGTAAAACCATTATAAAATTCATATGGTACCAAAAAAAAAAAAAGCCATAAGAGCCAAAACATTCATGAGCAAAAGTACAATGCTAGAGGCATCACATTAACTGACTTCAAATTACATTGCAAGGCTATTGTAACCAACAGTATGATACTGGTATAAGAACAGACACATAGATTAATGGAACAGAATAGAGAACGCAGAAATAAACTGCTTATTTACAACCAACTGATTTTTCACAATGACAAGAAGAACATGCATTGGAGAAAAACACCCTCTTCAACAAATAATGCCGGGAAAATTGAATAGTCATGTGCAGAAGAATGAAACCAAACCCCTATCTTTTACCATATACAAAAAAAAAGTTAACTCAAGATGGATTAAGGACTTACATGTAGGACTGAAAACTATAAACACTTTTGAAGAAAACCTAGGGAAAACTCTTCTGGACATTGGTCTAGGCAAAGAATTTATGACTAAAGACCTCAAAAGCGTAGACAACTAAAACAAAAATAGACCAGTGAAACTACATTAAAAAGCTTCTGCAAAGCAATGAAATAAAATAACAGAGTGAAGGGACAACCTTTCAAATGAGAGAAAATATTTGCAAATCATTCATATGATAAGAGTATACAAGAAGCTTAATATTCTTATGTGTGAATTTGATCCTGTCATTATGATGTTAGCTGGTTATTTTGCTCATTAGTTGACACAGTTTCTTCCTAGCATTGATGGTCTTCACAATTTGGCATGTTTTTTGCAATGGCTGGTAGCAGTTGTTCCTTTCCATGTTGAGTGCTTCCTTCAGGAGCTCTTGTAAGGCAGGCCTGGTGGTGACAAAATCTCTTGGCATTTGCTTGTCTGTAAAGGATTTTATTTCTTCTTCAGTTATGAAGCTTAGTTTGGCTGGATATGAAATTGTGGGTTGAAAATTCTTTTCTTTAAGAATGTTGAATATTGGCCCCCACTCCCGTCTGGCTTGTAGAGTTTCTGCTGAGAGATCTGCTGTTAGTCTGATGGGCTTCCCTTTGTGGGTAACCCAAAGACACAGACTGGCAAATTGGATGAAGAGTCAAGAGCCATCAGTGTGCTGTATTCAGGACACCCATCTCACATGCAGAGACACACATAAACTCAAAATAAAGGGATGGAGGAAGATCTACCAAGGAAATGGAAAACAACAAAAAAAAGCAGAGGTTGCATTCCTAGTCTCTGATAAAACAGACTTAAACCAACAAAGACCAAAAGCGACAGAGAAGGTCATTACATAATGGGTAAAGGGATCAATTCAAAAAGAGAGCTAATTATCCTAAATATATATGCACCCAATACAGGAGCACCCAGATTCATAAAGCAAGTCCTTAGAGATATACAAAGAGACTTAGACTCCCACACAATAATAATGGGAGACTTTAACACCCCACTGTCAACATTAGACAAATCAATGAGACAGAAAGTTAACAGAGATATCCAGGACTTGAACTCAGCTCTGTACCAAGTGGACTTAATAGACATCTAAAGAACTCTCCACCCCAAATCAACAGTATATACATTCTTCTCAGCACCACATCACACTTACTTCAAAATTGACCACATAGTTGGAAGTAAAGCACTCTTCAACAAATGTAAAAGAACAGACTGTCTCTCAGACCACAGTGCAATCAAATTAGAACTCAGGATTAAGAAATTCACTCAAAACCACACAACTACATGGAAACTAAACAACCTGCTTCTGAATGACTACTGGGTAAATAATGAAATGAAGACAAAAATAAAGATGTTCTTTGAAACCAATGAGAACAAAGACACAACATACCAGAATCTCTGGGACACATTCAAAGTAGCGTGTAGAGGGAAATTTATAGCACTAAATGCCCACAAGAGAAAGCAGGAAAGATCTAAAATTGACACCCTAACATCACAATTAAAAGAACTAGAGAAGCAAGAGTAAACACATTCAAAAGCTAGCAGAACGCAAGAAATAACTAAGATCAGAGCAGAATTGAAGGAGATAGAGACACAAAAAACCCTTCAAAAAAATCAATGAATCCAGGAGCTGTTTCTTTTTAAAAGATCAACAAAATTGACAGACCGCTAGCAAGACTAATAAAGAAGAAAAAAGAGAAGAATCAAATAGATGCAATAAAAAATGATAAAGGGGATATCACCACCGATCCCACAGAAATACAAACTACCATCAGAGAACACTATAAACACCTCTACGCAAATAAACTAGAAAATCTAGAAGAAATGGATAAATTCCTCGACACATACACCCTCCCAAGACTAAATCAGGAAGAAGTTGATTCCCTGAATAGACTAAAAACAGGCTCTGAAATTGAGGCAATAATTAATAGCCTACCAACCAAAAAAGTCAAAGACCAGACAAATTCACAGTTGAATTCTACCAGAGGTACAAAGTAGAACTGGCACCATTCCCTCTGAAACTATTCCAATCAATAGAAAAAGAGGGAATCCTCCCTAACTCATTTTATGAGGCCAGCATCATCCTGACATCAAAGCCCGGCAGAGACACAACAAGAAAAGAGAATTTTAGGCCAATATCCCTGAGGAACTTCGATGCAAAAATCCTCAATAAAATACTGGCAAACCGAATCCAGCAGCACATCAAAAAGCTTATCCACCAAGATCAAGTTGGCTTCATCCCTGGGATGCAAGGCTGGTTCAATATACACAAATCAATAAACGTAATCCATCCTATAGACAGAACCAAAGACAAAAACCACATGATTATCTCAATAGATGCAGAAAATGCCTCCAAAAAAATTCAACAGCCCTTCATGCTAAAAACTCTCAATAAACTAGGTATTGGTGGACATATCTCAAAATAATAAGAGCTTTTTAAGACAAACCCACAGCCAATATCATACTGTGGACAAAAACTAGAAGCATTCCCTTTGAAAACTGGCACAAGACAGGGATGCCCTCTCTCACAACTCCTATTCAACATAGTGTTGGAAGTTCTGGCCAGGGCAATCAGGCAGGAGAAAGAAATAAAGTGTATTCAATTACGAAAAGAGGAAGTCAAATTGTCCCTGTTTGCAGATGACATGATCGTATATTTAGAAACCCCCATTGTCTCAGCCCAAAATCTCCTTAAGCTGATAAGCAACTTCAACAAAGTCTCAGGATACAAAATTAATGTGCAAAAATCACAAACATTCCCATACAATAACAGACAAACAGAGAGCCAAATCATGAGTGATCTCCCAGTCACAATTGCTTCAAAGAGAATAAAATACCGACGAATCCAACTTACAAGGGATGTGAAGGACCTTTCAAGGAGAACTACAAACCACTGCTCAATGAAATAAAAGAGGACACACACAAATGGAGGAACTTTCCATGCTCATGGGTAGGAAGAATCAATATCATGAAAATGGTCATCCTGTCCAAGGTAATTTATAGATTTAATGCCATCACCATCAAGCTACCAATGACCTTCTTCACAGAATTGGAGAAAAGTACTTTAAAGTTCATATGGAACCAAAAAAGAGCCTGCATTGCCAAGACAATCCTAAGCCAAAAGAACAAAGGTGGAGGCATCAAGTTACCTGACTTCAAACTATACTACAAAGCTACAGTAACCAAAACAGCATGGTACTGTTATAGAGATATAGACCAATGGAACAGAGATATAGACCAATGGAACAAAACCGAGATATAGACCAATGGAACAAAATAGAGGCCTTAGAAATAATCATCAGGGACATGGAAATCAAAACTACAATGAGATATCATTTTACTCCAGTTAGAATAACTATCAATAAAAAGACAAAATAATATTGTCAAGGATGTGGAGAAAAGGGAACTCTTATACACTGTTGGTGGTATGTATTTAATACAGCCTTCTCAAGGAACTAAAAATATAACTACACTTCAATCTAGTGTACTACTGGATATTTACCCAAAGGAAAATAAAGTAATATATCAAAAATACACCTGCACTTATATGTTTATTGTAGCACAATAGCAAAGATATGAATGAGTCTAAACATTCATCAGTGGATGATTGCATTAAAAATGCGGTACATATACAGAATGAGTTGCTATTCAGTCATAAAAAACAATTAAACCATTTCTTTCTGAAGCAACATGAATGGAACTGGAGGCCATTATCTAAAATGAATCAAGGCAGGTACAGACAGCCAAACATCAAATGTCTTCATGCATAAGTGGGTGCTAATAAATGAGTTTACAGGGACATAGAGAGTGAAATGATAGATAATCAAGACTTGCGTGAGGGGGTAGAAGGGGGTCGGATTATGGGAAATTGGTTAATGGGTATAATTCATGTTGTTTTGGTGATGGATATCCTAAAAGCTCAAACTTGACCACTATGCAATCTACGCATGTAACAAAATTGCACAGGTATCCAACAAATTTGTATTAAAAAAAGCAAGATTTTATTGAAAGTGTCTTCTGAAAGAATAAAAAGAAATGTTTTAATCTATTTGTGTTGCTATAGCAAAATACCACAGACTGAATAATTTATACAATAAAATTTTATTTTCTCAAAGTTCTGGAGTCTGGGAAATCTAGCATCAAAGTGTCAGCAGCTGTGATGTTTCATGAGGGCCCCTTATCTTCTTCCAGAATGGTACCTTGTTTCTGTGGCCTTCACAGGGGATGAACATTGTGTCCTTACATGGGACAAGGTGGAAAGGCAATAGGGCTGAAGGACAAAAAAGCCTAATGGTGCCTAAAGCCTTTTTCATAAGGGCCTTAATGTCTTTCACAAGGGACCAGACCCCATGATTTAATCACCTCCTGAAAACCCCACCTTTTAATACTGTTGCTTTGGAGATTAAGTTTCCATGTGAATTGTGGAGCGGGCACAAACATTCAAACCATGACAGAAAAGAAAAAAAAAAAAGTGTTGACAAGACTTATCCTGCTTTCGGTCTACAATCCAAATTTACCAAGAGTCTGATAATTTGGATACTTGAATAGTCAGACAAGCTTAATTCCCTACAGTGGGCTGGTGACAAGATTAATTGGGAGACAGTAGGAGAAAGTACAAGGGACTAAGAAATATATGACTCCACTGATGTCACCCAAGATAATTATCCTAAGATAATGTAGTTTGATAAAGTAGGTAACTATTCACATTGCAGAAAGGCAACCAAAATATGGAATTAGGACAAGGATATAAATATCCATGTTTTTACCAATCTAATCACTACTTCAAATTGTTCTAGGGGCAGACCACTTTGAAAAGATCCAGGTGAATATACAGCACACAGAAGATCAATGCCATTGACTAAGAGAGAAAAGTATCCAATGCTAGTTCTAGGCGCACAGATTATGATTAAATATAATCTCTGGTTTTGATTACTAGACTGTGGAATTGGCCAGATATAAATAGGGATAGAGCCAGCTGCAACTTTAAATAAGATATATTTATTTAAAAACATAAGCCTGCTCACTGACAACTTTTGATTGCTTAATTGAGCACATCCTAAGCTCCTAAATTTGCACTAACAGAAAGTGGGATGATAGAAAAATATGGCCCCACTAGGTGGCCTCGCCAATGTTGATTTTGGTCATTCCCATGAAATAAAATTGACAAAAGTTTTCCTCAATGTTGGAAGATAGGGATCATTAAGACAATGAATGAAGAAGTTCCTCACCAAAATTAGAACCAATGCTACCAAATTGGTCATTCAAGGAATTCTATTCGATTTCTTAAGCAGAAATTGCTTGAGGCTTTTTACCGGGAGGAGATGATATGTGATGTTCATCAGTCATTACTGTGTGTTGTTTCCCATTTTTCTCATGATGGAAGGAAAAACTTTATTGAATAGTATTAAAGTACATTAGAATTGAGTAACTTATTTATCTCGTTTGCTAGGGTATCAAGAGTTCAGTGCAGAACTAATGGAACTGCCATCAACCAGAAATGCTGGACTCAGATCTCAGTGCAATAAATTTATGGCTGGGAGGTAGCCAAGATGTTTCAAGGGGGAGGGTTAGTACATGTGTTTAGGAAGCAGGATACAGATGGAAATTAGGCAAAGATGTGAAGCATACTCGACACCCTTGCTTGCTGTCCTGGCATGCTTTATTCTTTCCCTCTTCCTAACAACTCCTATTTTCATTGAAGATATATTTGCTTTGAGAGAGGTTGGCCTGGCTTTTGGCTCCAGAGTTTGTACAGATCATTTGCTTTACTATTATAAGCGTTGCTAAAACTTCCATAGACCTGGAGGAGCCTTTGAAAGCTTCTTTTTGCCTTACTGGAATTCTTTGTATTTTGGTCCTTTCATTTCTTGTAATCCTTTCAAATATAACCTAATGAAAGCCAGCTACTCATGTAAATGTTACTTTTTAGAACTATAGAAAAATCATTCGGTGAGGGAGATCAGATTTATTGTTAAAATAAGAAGGTGATATTTTATATACATATTATGTCTACTGAATGACCACATATGATCAAAAGGCAACTATAAAAAGCACTACTCTATTTTGATTAAATTATTTCCAAGCATCTTTCCTTAAGGGGAACTCGAAAACTAAATTCAGGGCACAAACAAATATTTAAACAACTTGATCCTTTAAAAATTCAAATAATGTATCTTGTGAAAAACAATTCTCAGATATATTGTTTTGTAAACAATTTCTTGTCACATTCTTTTCAGCACTGTCCTAGGATTTTATAAAAATAGCAATATAATATAGGATTTATATGATATATAAAAATAAAATAGAAATATTTTTGTAATATGCTCCCAGAAGGAGAATTTTTTAATTATTATTTATTGAGCTGACATTGGTTGAACTTAGTTTACAATAAAACATGGTGGTGGATATATTACCTGAACCTTGCAAAGGATTTGAGTTTTAGGGATGTTTTAATTTTTTTATTGAATGATAAAATATTTCTTTTTCTGATCTCCTATAAATCAGAATATACCCTGTGATTTCTTGATGCTTTCTAGCCAGGCTTCTGTTTAATTGTTCAGTTTTACTTCAGGGATATATATCCAGTGATTTCTCCTATGAATGATAATAACACCAGTTAAAAGCATCCATGGGGCCCATTCTCATCTCTTTAACACCTCCCAAGGTAATGATTAGAGCCTAGAGCCCACAGTGACTTCAAAAGTCACTGTGTGCTTGGATCCTCTCAGTAGGGTGCTCAAGACACACTGAGCATTTGGTCCTTCAGTTCCTATTACAACTGCTCTGAATTTCAATTGGCAGAAGATGAAACACTAATGTTTACCTAGATTATATTTAAGTAGGTACTCTGTGATGTACTTGAAAGAAAACTGCCAAAATAAAACTTCTGGGGAAAGACTTTTTTCTACTATTCACATACATGAGATCTGGGTAGGTAGCATGAAGATTGTTAACATAGTGAGCCCAGTTTTCTTTCTTTTTCACAGAAAGGACAGCAGATTAACATAAAAACATGCCCAGTGAGAAGCCTGGTATGAATTCATACAGAGTGTGAAAGCAAGTGATTTTACCAAATGAACAATGCCCACCATAAGACACAGCTTCAAGCACAGTGGGCAGGAGTTGATTGGCTGCAACCACATCTTGCTCTTTTGTTCACTGGTCCTATCCCAACTGTATTGCCACAGATTATGTTCAGAATAGAGAAGAGAACACAAGGAATCCTGGGGGAATTGATGGCTGTGGAGCACATTCTCTTATTCTGATCTTTTTCTGGCCTCATAAATATAATCAGGAAAGAGGTTAAGTTACCTGTCCAAGGTCACAAAGAGAGTAAATGGCAGACTGTAATTTGAATGCTGGCAGACTTTCCTCATGATGCATTAACTATTATGCTCTACATATTATGTTATAATGCTTCTCATTGAAATTTCATCACATATGAAAATCTTTTAGTATAGCAACAGCAAAGTATAGATGAAAACAGTCTTCCTGTCAAGGAAAAAGATCCTTAATAAGGTACTATTGTTCACTTGGTGTTTGCGTTTTGCTATCGGATGAACATTGCAATGGTGAGGAATAAGTAATTATTTACTTATAGGAAGGGTATCAAAGTTCATAGTTTTGCTGTGTGGACCAAAACTGAATTTTCTGACTTTTACAGATAAAAATCTCATGTTTTGCATTTCAATTATCTGGTTTTTATATGTAATCTTCTAAAACTTAAACATCAAAAGTTAGTTTCTGTTGCAAATCGTGATGGCTTTCTAAATTAAAATTCTATTTTGTTATCAAATGTTTCTTTGAATTTGAGACTATTACTTTGAGTTTTTATGTCTCTTAAAATCATAATAATTAGTGATAAAGTCATGGTTTGAAGTCTGCAGTATGAATTTCAGAAGTTCGAAAAGATTCAAAGAATAAAGAATATATAAAATTTGGAATACCAAATTGTTTTATTATCATGTCACTGCAGACAATGAACTACAAAAAGCTTCTCCCATCTTGTGTAATTAATAAAATAATACAGCTGTTAAAGACACAATGTGGTCACCAGACAGTGCTGCCTGCATTTTCCAGAGGAGCCAAATAATTGTGTGTGGAATTTGATCATGGAAAGTTCTCTTGATTTAAAGAAAGTGCCACAATATCGTTCCCTGACATGAATTTCCTCTTTCTTAAGTACTCCGCATGTGTCACTCCATTCCTTTTGAGGCTCTGCTGTGCTGTCTTTTCCTTTGTTTCCCAAGCTGTTACTCAGTTCTTGGATCTGTCAGTTGGATTGTGTGTTATGTGAGGTTAATTAAAATCAATAATAAATTATAAATTGAGGTGCAAAAATCAGGGCAGCAATGAATGAGGAAAATGTCAAACTAGTTGAAAACAGTCTACAGCACACCTAAAAAAATGGGAAAATATCAAAGATTAGAGCAGCGCCTTGTGGGAAGTATTAAAACTTTATAAAGATGATCTCTGCTATTTGGGTCTAACTATAGTCATGAATATAAAATTCAGAAACCATTTTTATAAACATAGACAAAGTGCTACTAGGTTATTGAAATCATGTAAAGGAGCATATAAATTTAAAACAAATAATAATAGTATAACTCTGCAACTGACAAGTGTTGTTTATCTCAATATTAGTTTAACAAGGCATTCATGGTTAAAACATTGAATTTTATATCTTTCCCTTGGATTTCACATGTCTTTCATCTATCCTTTCAAAACAAAATAAACATACTTATTTTATGGAAGTAAGATGTTTGATTTAAGTTGTTTCAGTGGCTTAAAAAATGAAATCTACATAGCAGTATGTCAATGTTTTTGAAACTTATATGTTTATTATTTTATAATAAACAGTTATTGTAGGATTCTTCTATGAGTTCAGGTCAATGGCTATGGTTAAAAATAATTATATAAATTCAGTGATTCAGTACTGAGCTTCTCACTATGGTGGTTACAAGCCAGAAGTCAAATTAATCAAAAAGAAATAAAATTTAGAATTCAGTTCTTCAAACACAGTAACCATATGTTGAGTGCCAAATAGTACCATATGGCTAGCGGCTAATGTATTGAAGAGTGCAGATGCAGAACATGTCCATCATGGCAGAAGGTTCTATGAGACAGTGAGCTTAATTAATTCATAGTAGTTATACATGACTTTGGTAAATATTATGTTAAATCAAAGTATTTGTCTTATGTAATTACATATTTTAACAGCACGGATATATTCTGATAAATGTGCTTGCAGTCCTTAGCCCTGCAAAATGTAAGATGCCAAAAATTAGGGTTTCTCATAAATGTTTCAGTTTTGACCAGAGTAGTGTAGATGTATTTATACTTTCCTATTAAAGTAATTCAAAAATATTCTGAAATTTTTATTCTAACCACATTAGTAAAATTCAGGAGAGAACAGTCAAGCAATGACCATATGTTCTTGAGTACATACTGTGTTAAGAATGTAACATCGTATTCTCTGTGATTGCAAAAACACAGCATAGGACAGGACGAAGTCTTTAGCCTCAAACAACATGTAATCTAATTATAGATATGACATATATTCAAAAGTGTATATGGAAAATGTTTAATTGTAGGACATTTTATGAGAGAGATAATAGGGTTTGAAAACCAAGGAAGCCTTTGTGGAAAACAGAATTTCAGGTGAATCTTGATAATAGCAAGATAATAAAAACAATCTATGACAAATTTTCCAGAATAGCACATTGAATATTCAACATTTTGAGAGATCTAATTTTAAAAATTGAAGGCAAAATTCAAATTCATCCAGTCTAATTATTCTCAGCTCTGTCAGACACAATATTTTTATTTTTATTTTTAACTACTTTTTTTAACAATACATATGTTTAAACAAATATTTTTAATGCCCCCTGATGAAGACAGTCTTAACATCCTCCACAGCTTGATGAAAGTTTAAATAGGCTTCTTCCTGACTCTAGGCCCCTGACCTCTCTTTTCCTAGAGCATTTACTTAAAAAAAAAAAGTATAATCACAAATTTTTTCTCTGTCCTTTTAAAATGCAGAATTTTACAACTGAGGAGTGTTTTGCTTGTTTTAAACTTAGGGGTGTCTTTCTCAAGAACCTGGGCACTATCCCTCTGAAAGGTAAACATAGACCTCTTATTTCCCAGTTTCTGTGGGAAGGTAGAAGCCTAACTTCAATAAACGACAACTGGCACACACAGATGGCCTAATTACATTGACCGACCTGTCCTCTAATATCCTCCAGTACTTTTTGACTAGCTGACAAAACTACTGGAGTACTTAAAAAAGAGTTGAGTGCAATCTCTCTATTACAACAGCGTTCAATAAAATCTTCCTTGTCCAGTGCAATTTTACTTAGAGACCCCATATTAGTCTCTTCTTGCTGCTGTAACAAATTACCACAAACTTCGTGGCCTAAAACAACACAGATTTATGATCTTACAGTTCTTTCATTCAGAAGCTGAAAATGGGTCTCACTGGCCTAAGTCTAGGGATCAGCCATGCTGCATTATTTTTGGAGGTTCTATGGGACAATCTTTTTCCTGGCCTTTTCCAAATTTTAGAGGTTGCTGGCATTCCTTGGTTTTGGACCCTTTATCTTTAAAGCAAGCATCTGCATCTGTCTCATCTGTATGTCCATCATCACATCTTCTGTAATTCTGACTCTCCTGCTTTCCTCTTTCACTTATTAGGGTTGTTGTAATAATACTGGGCCCAATTGGCTAATCCAGAATAATCTCTTCTGAAAATCCTTAACTCAGTTACATCTGCAAAGTTCCTTTTGCCACATTAGGTAACATGATCACATGCTGTAGACATTAGGATATGGACATCTTTTTTTGGAGGAGGGGCGGCATGACTCTGCCTACCACATGCCCTTAAATATTCTGGCCTGAAATTAAGATAATTTAATATACCTACAAACATAATTTTTATCAAGATAATTCTATGACTTTGATATAAAGAAAAAGTAATGTTTAGTAAATAATATGTATGTACACATGATCTCTGACTTAATAATGTTACCACTTAAAATTTTTTGAACTTATGATGGTGCAAAAGTGATATGTACTCAGTAGAAATGACACTTCAAGTACTCTTGCAACCATCCTGCTTTTCACTTTCAGTAAAGTATCCAATACATTGCATGAGATATTCAACATTTTATTATAAAATAAGGTTTACATTACATAACTTTGTCCAACTGTAGGCTAATGCAAGTGTTCGGAGCACATTTAAAATAGGCTAGACTAAACTACAATGTTTGGTAGGTGAGGTGTATTATATGCATTTTTTGATTTACAATATTTTCAACTTACAATGGGTTTATTGAAACATAACCCTATTGTAAGGCAAGGGACATATCTATTTTAATATGTAAATGATTGGGCAAGAAAGCTTAAGAACAAAGTAGCCAAATGGTTCTGTTGACTTGTAATAAATAAATACGAAGATAAGTAAAGGAAATAAAAAGCATATTGTTTTAATTTTTTTACATTTATAATTTACAGTAAAGGTTAAGTAGATATATTCACATACACAAACGTATACATACAGACAAAAAATCTCATGAATGGGAAAACTAGAAATACAGACTCAACATGTGGTATTACATTAGTAACTTAAATGCCATAAACGTCTTTTCCAGCATTAATGGAATCCTACAAAATGGTGAACAATCCTCAGGAAAAAATAACAGTACAACAATACCTCAATAGTCAAGGTAGCTTCATTTCTGGAAAACTTATTATACACTAAAACCATACAAAACTCTTTTTATGTATGTGTAAAATGAAATAATATTTTAGTCCCAGATAATTAAAACCAGTTTTTTATCTACATAAATGCATGGCCAGAACGTCAGAATTCATGTGCGATATATAGTAATAGTTCACTGTGCAATATGTTGTGAGATGATGTGAATCTCTGGTGTCTGTGCTTTCAACACCAGCAGCATACCTCCCGTGACAAACACACACAGGCTCTCAAGTGCTCCGAAACAATTCCTGAAGGCAATACTTCCCACCTCTGAGAGTCAGCAACCTTTCCAACTTTCTCATTTATAGAGGAAGCCACTGCAATTATCATTAGTCAACTGATAAGTGATATTTGGAGATTTAATATAGAGGCCATATTTAGTGTTGGAGATACATTAAAGAACCAAATTTACCAAAAATTTCTTTATCAAGGAGATTTGTTTTGTTTTTGATTTCGGTTTCCTTTGTGTGTGTGTGTGTGTGTGTGTGTGTGTGTGTGTGTGTGTGTGTGAAAGAGTGACAACAAATAATTTATGATATAGAAAAGCAAATTGTGTAATATATTAGAAATTGATGTTTTTACTACAATGCATTCATTAAATAATATTTATTATGTGCTTATTATAAGACAGACACAAAAGAATGCTTGAGGGAAGGCAATGACATGTAAAGCGCGCTAAAATGTTTGTAATTCATTTTCTTCTGCAGGGGAGTAATGAGACTTCTGAGCATGGGAATGAAATAATCTGATTTGCATTTTAAGAAAATCACTCTGACTACTCTGCAGAGAATGGAGACTTGGTGGGAGATTGCAGAAATTATGGAAGGGGAATAGTTAAGGATAGAGTAGATAAGAAATCATAGTGATAAATGAATTATCACTTGGCAGCAGAGATATATTAGAGTATGGCAATGGAGACAGATAGGAATAAATGATCTTAACATATAGAGGCAGAATTGTTAAGATTCATTGAAGGATTATATATCTGAGGGCATGGAAGGAGGCATTTTCAGGATTGACTTGGTTTCTTCATTGAGTGATTCATTGACATTTATTGATACAGAGTTGGAGGCGCTTTAATCTGTGGGAAAATTCTTGAATATTATTTTATTTGCCAGGATTTCAGAGTTGAAGCCCACATATTTACATTTCTTTGAAGAATGCAATTTGAGTACCCATATTAAATTAAATTTATGCATGATATAAATAAAAGCCTGTAGTTAGAGAACAGAAGGGATTGATTTTCCATCGCTATTTATAACAATAGAAACAAGTTTTTATTTTGTCTCAGCTTTTCCCTAGAAAGTTCCCGGAAAATTTGTGACAGAGAATAACACTGAAAATCTCAGTTCCAACAACATTTAGTACCTCTTATTTTATTCTTCAAAGTCCAGAAAATAAAAAAGCAAATAAATGAGAAATAATGATGGTTTTGAGTTGTGTTTTTTAAAAAGAGTGAGTTTTTTGCACAAATTATAAATCTAATCAGCATCCTCACATATTTTTTTAGATTATTCCTATGCACTGCTAAGTTTAAATACAGCTAGAAGTCAATGACATAATTTCTTTGAATGAACAAAATATTCTGATGACAGAAAAGAGCGAACACACTCAAGTTACAGAGAACTTATGATAGCACATTTTTATAACCTTCAAGACAGATGACGTTACAAAAGCTTAGTCTATTAAATGAAACACAAAGGACCCAACATTAAACAGGAAGTGTTGTTACTCCAAGAATTAAATCTTATTAGTTTGCATATAGCTTCCTTGTGATTGTTCACAATCATACGTTCAAATATTGGCAATAACAAGAAACTATCAGTTAACAAAACTAATAGGTTGCACTATGGTACTACCTAATTTTGGTCTTATCTCGCTCCTACTCACACAAGTAGAATGCATTACTCTCCAACTGTATATCAGGTCCTATTTTGGATTTGAGGAACAATTCTGCCTCTGGTTAGATGGATTCTAAAGATCTCCATATCCACAGTTCATTTTTAAAAATACATTTCCCTGGCCGGGCACAGTTGCTCACGCCTGTAATCCCAGCACTTTGGGAAGCCGAGGCGGGCAGATGATCTGAGGTCAGAAGTTTGAGACCAGCCTGGCCAACCTGGTGAAAGCTTGTCACTAGTAAAAATACAAAAATTAGCCGGGTGTGGTGGTGGTCGCCTGTAATCCCAGCTACTCAGGAGGCTGAGACAGGAGAATCACTTGAACCCCGGAAGCGGAGGTTGCAGTGAGTCGAGACAGTGCCACTGCACTCCAGCCTGGGCAACAAAGAGCAAGGCTCCGTCTCAAAAAAATAAAATAAATAAGTACATTTCCCCTATTACCAAATTGCTTTGATTTTAGATTTATTTATTTATTTATTTATTTTGCCAACAGCTCCCTAAGAAATATAACCAATGGCATGACCCAACCCAAAGCACACGCTTTTCTTTGTCCCTGTTTTGTCTTCATAAATTGACTCCATAGCATAGAAAGGAATGTAAAGAGTGTAGCTTTCTTGGTGAAGCCTAGAACATCAAGCAGATTTAAAGTGATGAACTTTACCTTGGGCACTGGACTAGTCTCCATTTAAATTATACTTTCTCAAGATTTACATCTCTTACTGTGTGAATCCCCTTAACTTTTATATTCCCCACAACTCCTTTGTAAAAATCTCAATAGTAGAAACAAACGATCTGTTCTGTGTAAACAATGGCAAGTTATCTACATTCAATCCTGTCGGAAGCAATTTTTTATTACTGCTTATGTATTTATGTGACTAACGTCTGTTAAATACAAAAAAGCTATTAGATCCAGAAACAAAAATTGAATTAATGATTGACTATAAAATCTGCAGTAATAGCTTATAAATGTAAATGTGTGCATGCAAAAAAATAAAAGCATTGAAAAATAGTGTCGCAAAACTGTTAAAATTAGTTTGGAAAATTTTTTTTAGTCATAAAATTTACTTACTTAAAAACCTGGAACACCTTTCTAATGAGGTATAGATCCCACCTCATAGCCTTATTTAGGGTATAAATACTTAATAATTTTTTTTTTTTTTGAGGCAGAGTCTCGCTCTGTCTTGCCCAGGCTGGAGTACAGTGGTATGAAGTTGGCTCACTGCAGCCTCCACCTCCCGGGTTCAAGTGATTCTCCTGTCTCAGCCTCCCAAATAGCTGGGACTACAGGCACTCGCCACCACACCTGGCTAATTTTGAATTTTTAGTAGAGACGGGGTTTTATCATGTTAGCCAGGCTGGTCTCAAACTCCTGACCTCAGGTGATCCACCGCCTCGGCCTCACAAAGTGCTGGGATTATAGGCATGAGCCATGGCACCGAGCAACACTTAATAACTTTTATAGCCTTTTAAAATAACATATTTATAATAACACAATTTAAAATACATTTTAGTTTATTTAGCTATAATAATGTCCACAATATGTCTAAAATAGATGGAATTCATTTTATATAACAGGTTTTCCATTCATGCTGAAAAATTTTCTAGTATACATAGAAATAGCAGAAGTTAATTTTGCTCATTTCAAAACTTGAATTTCAATATCAGGAGTTTATATGTTTGTGTTTGTTTGTTAATATTTTTTAAGAGATTACAGTCTCTAAAACAATTTTGTTAATATTATTTTTCTTTTTGATATAACAATCAACAGCTACCATAATGAATATGTATTCCTTATTTTATATTTCATCTGTCTGTTTACCCTTTTTTATTATGATCTGGCTGTACAAAATATCTGAATGGCCCATGCTTAGTAGCAAATATATGTTGTCCATTGTATTCCTCAAATTAGCATTTCTATCAACAAGTTTATTGTGGTAACCAAATGGGGATGGAATAGATATGTTTCTGAATGTGCGAATGTGCTGCCCAGAGAATGGTCTCACTTTTGGCCAAATGTCTTGTAAAGTGCCATATTGATTTTGTTATAAGAAACATTTCACATTCTGAAAAGAAATCAATAGGAAGCCTAAATAATTTAGATACTATCTCTCAAATCAATATTAACGTATATTACTTTCCATTAGCTATTTGATATGACAGTTTTAACTCTACATTTTGTGATTTCATTATTTATATAGTTGCTTGTAAATATTAGAAAGAGTTCTCCTCCACACATTATTTTTAAACCATAACTAGTTAAATTGACTTTGGTTCTGACATGTAAAATAATTAAAATAATAACGTTTTCCATTTTTTGACTTGTATTTTAATACATCTCTTTCAAAATAAGAGAATGATATATCTATATATGTATAATTTCAAATATTTTAGTACCTTAAAGAAAATTTAGAGTTCAGTAACATTTGTAAAGGAAAGACAAATGAAAAGAAACCCAATTAATTACAATCGTAGCTAATTTACTTTAAAATGACCAAAATGCATTTTATTGTTTATTTATATTTAGTATTTAACAAGCATGATAATTAACTGTGATTATCAAATATTTGTTCCATTAAGCAAAACAGAGTGCAATTGAGTTAGTTCATACTTGTTTAGTTAAGCAAAACAGAATGCAATGGTTAGTGCAGAAATTTACAGTCACTTGGGATCCGACTATTTTAAATATTTTAGTCTTAGATAACTCATTATTTAAGGGTTAGTTTTGTAGGTCAATTGCTTGTAATTGCTAAGCTATATTAACACATAGCTTTAAAAATATATGTAATTTTCTCAGATATGCATATTTAACATGTTTAGATAATTAAGACAAACTTATCAGGTCATACAATTTTAATAGAAATCCCTGTCTAAGGATTAACTCTTAGAAGAGGTTAATAGTGTCAGTTTACACATGAATAAATAAAAATTGATAAAAAGAAAAATCAATATTGATGTTTGTTTTTATAATATATTCCTTTTAGTGAGTAATTAAGTAACATGAATGGGGGCATAAAATTCCCCCCATATCGAGATCATAACAGTACTCTATAAGCTCGGACAAGTTCTTTAGCTTTAGAAACCATGTTTTCTATTCTATAAGTGTTGTTAATAATATTACTTTCCTCAGAGGGTCATTGTGGAGATTTAATAAAATAATGCGACATTAAGTTCTTAGAATATAATCTGGTAAATGGCAAATTATTATTTTTAAATTATTTCACTTTTTAAAGGAAAACCTCTAATTATTTTTCACAATTTCAGAAATTGGTATTTGTATTATAATTATCTACCATAGCTTTTTTTTTTTTTTTTTGCTTTGAGACGGAGTCTCGCTCTCTCGTCCAGGCTGGAGTGCAGTGGCGCGATCTCGGCTCACTGCAAGCTCCGCCTTCTGGGTTCACGCCATTCTCCTGCCTCAGCTTCCCGAGTAGCTGGGACTACAGGCGCCCGCCACCACGCCCGGCTAATTTTTTTTATTTTTAGTAGAGACGGGGTTTCACTGTGTTAGCCAGGATGGTCTCGATCTCCTGACCTCGTGATCCGCCCGCCTCGGCCTCCCAAAGTGCTGGGATTACAGGCGTGAGCCACCGCGCCCAGCCTATCTACCATAGCTTTCAAATTGGCTATTCATCACCAGACGATAAGCTTTCTTCTGAGCAATGATTTTCAAACAGGATGACAGAAATTTAAGGGTAGAATCTTTATAAAGATGATAATATAAAAATCAAAACTACTTGTCAACATAATTGTTTGTATTATACACTTGTATCATATCAATGATTTGGGATGGAGTTGCGGGGCAGTTGGGCTGAAGGTGGATTAACTGAGCCCAATTTCCCCTCATCTTTGTTACCCAGATTCCTGGGAAAGATAAATTACTCTGGACACAAGGACCCCTTGCATAAAGTGGCTGCTTCAACTGCTCTGATCACAGCACTTTCACTGACTACAACTATAGACATAGTAACTATTTGGGCACACCAGAATAAACTAAGAGGCACCCTCCACTTCCTGTGAGTCTTTTCTTGCCCTTAGACAAAACATATCTGATAATATGTTAACGTGTGTATGTGTGTAGATTAGATAGCTACTAATAGATGACAAGTATAAGTGAATTTAAAATTTTGTAACTTCCTAAGTATTTATTTCTTAATTTTTAAATTGAAGCTAAAAATGTCTGTTAGGTTAATCTGATTTTGCCTCAATAAGCATGTTTTGTGTGTATGTGTGTGTATGTGTGTGTATGTGTGTTTTCCTTTTCTGTGAATCACAAATGTTTCTGAAACTTCTAAATTAATTTTTAAAATATGTATTTTCAGCATTTACTCACCAAATCTGTAACTTTAAAGTTTTAGGTCCAAAGGGCCAAATTTCATTTTGAACTCTGAGAAGCCAGATATACTCTGAGCCTAAATGATTATGGAACAAAAATATATGAGTCAAAGATGGCTAGAGTAATTGATGGATGAGAATAATAATTAATAACAAGAAATGGGAAACTGCATGGGAATATTTAAAAAGAAAAACAAGAAGCAAATCATGAACAATATTTAATAAACCAGGACAAAAACACAGAAAGTATATGAGCATTGCAGTATGCCCACGTATCATTCTTCTAGTCTGTATCTCTTTCAGTGCCTCTAAAGGAAATGACTTTAGTAGTAAAAAACTCACATTTTTTCTTATGTTTAGGCTGTTAAAAATATCAGTTTGGGATCACACTTTTGACAGTCTTTACTCATATCTATATTTTATCACAAATAATTTCTGGACTATATGATGTTTGTTAATAATCTTGTCCCAATCACATGAGGTAATACCTTATATGTAGTCGTACACTATGTTTTTAAATAATGAATTAAAATGGATTATCTGAGTATTTTATTGAGACCAGGAGGCTTCTATATAGGAATTCATAGATACACATATATTTTATTAGTAAATGCTAAAACAACAAAAACAGAATTTGGCACTTGCTGTGTGATTACTCTAGTATGATTATGGGTTGGCTGGGAGATGAGAGGCTTTAGGTGCCAAACTTTTGCTAAGGATGAAGCCTCTCTAAAGCTTCTGCTATAAGGAGAGATATGTGTTCTAATCATTTCACATTGAGAGAAATCCTCACTCGAGCTGACACTTCAATACCTTTCAGTTAATTCTGTTGATTAGAACATTTCCTCACCAAGAGCCAAAATTTACCTTTCTAGAACTCTTATCAAGTAACTCTAATCAAATTTTCCAACTAAATCATCTGTATTTTGTAGGAATTATAAGAACAAAATATAATTTAGATATTTGGAAATGTATAAAATTATGAAATATAAATGTCACTCAATTTTTATTTAGAGATAACTAGATAATCACTGTTAAAATTTTGATGAATTTTTTCAGATTTTTATACGATGAGAATATACACACATATACACGTAAATATATGTATTTTTAAACTTTAATATTATAAAAATAAACATTTCCTTGTTTTATGTTTTGCGAATATGCTTTTAAGAATTGTGTAATTATCAGTAACATTGATACAAAATAATTTCCACAGTTCATTTTCAATTTCCATTTCTGTTCATGCTGTTTCAGGACATGGCATTGCAGATAACTTTTGCTTAACAATTAGTTTTTTTCAGAATAAGATATTGCTTCATTACACTTTAAACTCTACAACAGAAGTACTTATTATACAACAGTTATTTCTGAAACTAGGAACATATAATTCAATAGCATTTTGAATTTGACTTAAGGATATCATCTAGTCTAATAAATAGATTGAAAGGAACAAATAGAATAAGAGATACAGGTTTGGGAGTTGGCAATAAAAAGATAAAATACAGAAATTATATTGGTACTATGAGTTATAATCATTATTGTCTACCTTATGCACTTCCTGTAAATTTTGTGAAATAACAAATTTAATCTATGATAAATAACTGGTGGTGGTAACCTTTGTCTAAGTAAATTAAAACATTCAGCACTTGTATTCTTTAGGATACTTTGGAAACAATCAATGAGATAATCATTATTTGTACACATCTAAATATGTACTCCTAGACGAAAGTAGCTCCTGCTGAAACTATTTTTAAGCAGAAGAGGAATTAAACATTTCTGGACATCAAATACATTTATAAATATTACTAAAAGGTAGTTTAATCCTTTTAGTAAAACATTGTTTACCTGAAAAACAGTAGAAGGTTAGAATATATTCCTGCCAATCATACCGCTGGCTAAAAAAGCTTAATGATTAGAGGGACCAACTTCCAAGTCTCAATAGCATATATCACAAAATATAAATGAATCGCATATCTAATGGATGAAATATTACTGAATGCAAAGAAAAATCAAATATTTTTCCACAAATATTTATTGGGTGTCATTACGTTTACACAATTATAATGTGTATTGGGTGGAATGAAAGGAGAGATTCATTTATTTACTAAATACACCCAATATACACACTTACATATATCCATAAAACTGACTTCAATGGGCTTATAAATTGCTCACCATAGAAGAAAAAACATACTTCCAAAAATATATTAAAGAATAGTTTTTCTGTTGATTTTCTTGAATTTTCTATGGAGAAAATGTTGCTTTGAGCAAATTTACGATAGCTTGAACATTTTATTTTTGTATATTTATTCCTCTTGTTGTCTTCATATCATAAGATATACACCTCAGTATGATTTTGAATAATATACCGGTACTGATAAGAATGTTAACAATGCTTTTTTCTGATATTCCAAATCACTTTTTTAAAATTACAATCCATTCAGTATGTCAGTTCATCTTTCAAGTTTGTAAATTTATGTCATTTTTATTAGTTCTAAAACTTAAAGTTTGTTTTCTAAGAATTCCAATTTTATTTTCATGAAAATCATTTTCTAGTAAAATACTCTTCTAATTCTTCCATTGAATCTGTCGTAATATAACTACCTATTTTGGTTGTTTGACTAGGTCTCCACGTTTTAAGCCACTGAGTCCACCTTGTTTCTATCATAATCTTTGTCTGCTAGTAAAGATTTACCTCAAATCCTGTTTAGGTTAGTCTGTTTAGGTTTTGGGGCAGTGGTGGCTTGGATGATATTGAAAGGAGAGATTATTATTTTCCTGACTTTTGGAGACAATGGGCTTCAATAAACTCTATCCAAGGCTGCAAGGTTGGAATGATAACTTCTTATCTGTGTTCTAAAGAGTTTAGTTGGTTCAATCCTTAGAGGCAGTTTCTGACCTGGCCTCTTAGCTTCAAGTTTCACTGCAGAAGGGTTCTTTTTTCCCCCGAGCTGGTAAGTCCTGGAATTCCCTCCAGCTTTACACCCTGGAGGTCTGTACAGGTACTCTAACCTCAGTAAGTGCATAAGACAGCCTAGCTGCATAGCCATAGCAACTATAACAAATCTTTCTTACGGCAATTCAATTACATTATTATTTAGAAACAGTGTAAGGTGACAAGATTTCCATTTATTTAGACTGACAGTGAATCTTGGTTGGTAATCTCATTGCACATCAAGTTTTGCTTGAGAAAGCCACAGAAGGAAAAAGAAAAGCTATAATTATTGGCACATAGATGAACAAATTCGCACTTCAATTTGCCATGCTCGATATAAACTGTGAATAAATGTGAAAGGATTCTGCTTCCTGGGGAAACAATAAACTTTTTCAAGAAAGATATTTACTTGAAAACACTTAAACAAACAGAACTGAGATTTATGTGGGTCTGCTAGGACTCAGAAATTCTGCAGAAGTATTATGAGGCAGGATTAAAGAAAATGAAGTAACAAAAGACTGAAAGTAAAGAAATTTATCTGGCTTACCTAAAATGAATGGTTTTTTTACTTTTTTTGTATAATTCTATTATAACTTTGAACTATTGATGTCAAAAGAATCTTAGAATATAAGCACTAGATACAGAGTGATATGACAGAAGAAAAGTTAAATATGTGACTGTTGGAAGAGATAATTTCTTTGTCTAGCACTGCAGTCTTTTTACTGCTTTAAAAGCTGGTCTATTTTACTGTTCTATTTTTCCTGTCTTTAAAACAGCTCCTGGTATTGACATTATTTTAGTCTAAAACATTGTGGTCAATAAGTAAATCAATAGTCAAGATCAAAGCTAATCTTCTTTTTAATGAAAAGTACATTTAGATAAATGTTTTTCTTCCATTTATACATCAGAATACTATAAAGTAGTGGGGTTTTATATTGGATTCATAAGTTCTATACCAAACATGCTGATTTTATTCCATTCACTTAAATATCTACCTTTACATTTTTCACAAAAATAATAAAATCAGGGAACAAAATTGATTACCCTTTGTATTGCAGACACTTTTTTAAGTGCATAACATATACTTATTCAAACAGCTCTGTGAAGTAGATGCTACCATTATCTTTTCACTGCAGATATGGAAACTTAGACGCAAAGAGATTAAGCAACATACACAAGTTCACATGGTTAGAAATGGCAGAATGGATATTTATTTTGATTTTTATTTTAAGTTCCTATTGCCTAGTTGTATTAAGCCCAGCATTCATTAGCTATTCTTCCTGATGCTCTCCCTCTTCCCCACCTCCATTATGCAGCCATAAAAAGAAACAAGATCATGTCTTTTGCAAGGACATGGATGGAGCTGGAGGCCATTATCCTCAACAAACAAACACAGGATGCTGTAGATGCGGCAAGGAAGACAGCTATAGCCATGGCTCCAAAGTACTTATGAGATCAGACTCACAATTAACATGTGAACAAATAGGTAAGATAATGACAATGATAAGTTCATAGAGGGAATAATACAGAGGTTATAATAGAGAACTATTTGAAGGTATCTAAATGGCAGAGGGGAATTCTCACTGAAGCTGGTTTTTTTTTGGATGAGGTGACATTTAATCTAATACCTAAGTAACAATAGGAGGACAGTCTTTTCAAATGACTTGGAAAAGCATTGCAAGCAGAAAGGAAAATGTATACTAATAACATTTTAAAATGTCTGACATATTCGAAGAATAATAAAAAAATAAACTGATGTTGTTAATACTAACGAGTGAGGAGTCTTAATGAGTGAGGCAAGATGCTATATCACGCAAGGTCTTGAAGACAGCAGTCAAGAGTGTGGAACATCTTCTAATTCAATAATGAGCCATTGGAGGGTTTTAAGCAAGATCTTACATTAACCTGATTTACACTTTCGGAAGATGACATGTGATCATAATCCAAAACTCGGCTTATTACAGGAGACAAGCTTGTAGCCTAATGAGTCAAGTGGGTTTGATGTACACAAAGAGCTGTGATAAACTGGAGGGCACATTCTCTTTCTAAAGACATTCAGATTAATTTAAGTAAAACGTCTCCCAGCTAGATACAGCCTTCACATATCCAGTTTGTGATACTTCTCTAGGTGTTGTTTAGAAAACAGGTTGTGTAGGAGGCTATTTCAATAATGTAGGCAGAAGATGATGCAATCTTGGTAGATTGTTGGCAGTGGAGATAGTAAGTGTGAGTATTTTAGTTACAGTTTGAAGTTGGAACCAATAAAACTTAGACAAGATGTGGACAGAAGGTAGAGGAAAATAATGTAATTAAGCTTAACTCCAAGGCTTTTGGACTGAGTATCTGGCTGATGATATCATTTTCTTAAGATTGAAGACAGTGGGGAAGAAACAGGCTTTGAAGATCATTTCATTTTGGAGATGTTATATTTGAGGTAACAATCAAATTTCCAAGAGGACATTTCAAGCAGTTCAAGACATAGATGTGTCTAGAAGTCAGAGGAGATGCCAGTGCTAGACTATACCTTGCGAATATACCTTTGGAAATATTGTCTATGCAATGGGACCAGATGAGCTCTTCTGAAGAGATACAACTGATATCAAGAACTCCAGCACTGACAGGAAATGTAGAGGAGGTGTGTGCAGAAAGGGAGACTGGAAAGGAGAAGCCAGGGATTAGGAAAAACAAAGAAACAAACAAACTGTAAAATCAGAGGTACGAAATCAAGAAAAGAAAATATTTTTAGAATAAGGAGCAGTCAAACTTAATAAAAGATTCGGATAATCTCCTATAGTGAACACCAAGAAGTACCAATGGATTTGGCAACATAGTGGTTTTTGGTAATTTTGACAATAGAAGTTACAGTTGAGTAGAGAGGACCCAAGTTAGAATGGTGTGTTCTGAAAAGTGAAAAGACGAGGATATACAGATATACAGATAGAGGATATACAGATAGAAACTACACCCATCTCTTTAAGAAATTTTATTCTGAGGAGGAGGAGAGAAAGGAGGAATAATTGGAAGGGTATTTATGGTCAAAGAGAAGTTTTATTTTGTCTTTGATTTTACAAAATAATGCTGAAATTGTGTTTTTATAGAATAATATCAGAACATTAGAATATTGGACAAGGAAAAAATTTTACATAGCAAAACAAGGATTGACATTGTTAAGGTGAGAGGGAATGTATAAGGAGCACATAGAACATAAATTATTTTGAGAGCTGTAGTGATATTTCTGCTTGTGTAATGAGAAAAAATAAACGTCTACATATTTACTTATAATGATATATTTGGTGGTGGAAGATGAGGGAGTCTGTTTAAATTGCTTCCATTATCTCAGTGTGGTATAAAGACATGCTCATCAAATGAGGTAGGTAGAGGGCACTGGATAGTTTAGAAGAGGAGACTTTGTGAAATCACCCTTCTAGTGTGTGGGGAAGTAGATTTGCTTGGGAAGTGTAGTAGGATTGTCATGAAGCATTCTTTTGAGCATTCTGGTAATGAATTCAAGTGAGACAGGTCCACATGATTTTATGGTTTTCTCTACCGTTTTAGATGGCCCTGTGTGCAAAATAAAAAGCAGATTCATGGGTTGACCTGACATATTAGTTTCCTAGGGATGCCGTAACAAAGGACCACAAATTATGAGATATGAATCAACATAAATTTATTGTCTCTCAGTTCTGGGGGCCAGAAGTGAAAAATCAAGGTGGAAGTAGTGCCATGCTCCCTCTGAAAACTTTAGGGGCATCCTATTCTTTTTAGCAACTGTTGCTGATTTAAAGCTTGCAGCTGCATAAATCCAGTGTCTACCTTTGCAGTCATATAGCATTGTCTCTGCATGTCTCTGTCTTCACATGGCTGTCGTCTTATAAGGGCATTAGTTATATTGGACTGGGGCCCACTCCACTCCAATGTGACCTCATTTTAAATTATTACACTTGCAATTAATCTATTTCCAAATAAGTTCGTACTCTGAGGTTCAGAAGTCTAGGACTTCAAAACATCTTTTTTGAGGGGAAGACAATTCAGCCCATAACTTCAGAGTTGGTGTTTTTGCCAGATAAGACTGAAGGAGAAAGAAAAAGTTAAGCATTTTCTTGTAATGCCAAGAAAGTCAGGTATGTTTTTAGAACACCCTTTCCTCACTTACACAATGAGAACTTTAGCCTCAATGATCTTTTGTGTACATTCCAACCTTAATATTTATGATGTGTCCTTCTGAATTCTAAACTTAGACTTTATTTTTAGTGTTAGTGATACATCTTACTTAGCATTTTAGATAGTATGAGAAGTTTTAAAGGTTTTCTTCTTGATCTACTTAGACAACACAAAATAAAACGAACATGTAGATTTAACTATTTTAGGAAGATTTCAAAAATAAAGGTGATCACAGGGCTCTAAAATATTTAGTCTGCACATATAAATTCACAGCTATTCATCATATTATTAATGTTACACCATGTAGAATTAAGAAATCCTGAGATGAAATAAAACAAGTGGCTGAATTTGAAGTCTGTGGGCTAACTGCAGCTTACCATAAGACTGACACTACTAAGCTTATCTTTACATGAAACAAAAAATAATATCTTGCAGCTCATTGATGGATGCAATTAGTGGCTCTTTAAGAATGTCACTCAATTATTATATAGAACTAAAATAGTTTATTATTATAGTTTTTATGATTTCAACTTCTATAGAGTAAGAAAACAAAATGTTACAGCTCAAAAAGCACATCAAATGCTGAGATGGCACTTATTTTTCGAAGGCTGTACCTTGCTTCTAGTTCTGCTTTAATTTTAAATTATCTAGCTTGCTGAATATCTTCATTCTGCAGGATTTTATTAAGACTTTTGGATTAACATATTGCCTTTCATCTCAGGAAAAAATGCATATGTGCTTTTTCATACATCTATTATTCAAATGACAATGTTATTTGGTTTACTACATTGCATACAACTTATAGTTCAAAATATTATAGAATATTTTCACTGAAATGTAACAGAAAATTAAAAAAAGCAAGGTAAGTGCTTCTTCTGTCCCACAATAAAGTGAAATTGGCATTTTCTATAGGATAAGAAAGATTCATTTTATTCTTCAAGCCCTCTAGTAATCTTTAAGACCAAATACCTTAACAGATGGAATTAAAATGCTTACATATAATTACTAAACCTTTCAAAATGAAAATTATGCCTCTGTTTTAATTTTTAAAATATGATCATTGTAAAGATAATACAAACACATGAGAAAAATGCAGAATCTAAATGGTTTCTATGTCTTGTATGACTGTTATAACCTAGGTCAATCTCTATTCCCCTTTTTTCTATTTAAATGACTAAAGAAAGCTTCAAATATGTATTTTGAAACAAAGAAGTACACTACTGTAGCACTGATTCTTGCATTTCATTGTTTCTTTGGCTGCCCTAGAGACCAGTCTGCATGAAACTCATAAGTTTTATTTGACTTTTTATTATGTGATACATTTGTGAAGTGCAGGTTGCTACCTCTGCTCATCAACTCACAGATATTTATTGTCATATTTATGCAAACCTTTAAAAATATAACTAAAAGGGAATACACATTTTTATTATATATGTACTTTTATTATTACATATGAATAATATATAAAAATAATGGATTAGTATTATTATTGTAAGCTGTTTATTACATGTGTATAATAAATAAACACTGTTGTAATTAGCATAATTAAGATACTTTTTTGAAAGTATTATTGTATATAAGAATATTTAATATAGGGTTCTTATTAAGAGCTTACATCCTAGTTGAGGAGAAAGCAATAAATTGCTATAAAACTATGATTTTGGTCTCAGACACAGAGCTAAATTCAGATCCTGATTTTCATCATTTGTTGTCAGTGAGACACTGGGTTTTGTATTTTTTCAGGAGAAATCCAAATTAAATTAGCTCAAACATAAAGGAAATTATGAATTCAAACACTTTTTAGGGGTAAGATTTGTTTCATTAACTGCTCAATCTAGGAGCTTAAAACAGTTAGGCAAAGTTCTATTTCATGACATGTGTATTAGTTCTGATGGACTTCCTTCTGCATGTGGTTTTCTCTTCAATGTCCAGAAAAATGGTCACCAGCAGTTTTAACATATAGTGTATGTACATGTAAGATAAAAATGTTGAGCTATCTCTCACTATCCTCATTTCATATCTGAGAGAAGAGTCTGGTTAGCCTCATGGCGGCGGGGGGGGGGGGTCACATGTCTTCCCATGTGACAGGAGGGTATTGATATTCATGATGGAGTGCCTAGTGGAATCAGAGAGGGGACATCACTAGAGGAAACACAGTTGTTGTTAATGAACGAAAGGACATGGTATGAAAGAAATAATGAGAATTTAAAAATAACAGAAGTCCAACTACATGCTTCAATTTTAGCTTTTTAGCTTTTTTTTTTTTTTTTTTTTGAGACAGAGTCTTACTCTGTTGTCCAGGCTGGAGTGCAGTGGCACGATCTCAGCTTACTGCAACCTCCACCTCCCAGGTTCAAGCAATTCTCCTGCCTCAGCCTCCCGAGTAGCTGCAACTATAGGAGTGCACCACCACACCCAGCTAATTTTTTCTATTTTTAGTAGAGACAGGGTTTCACCATGTTGGCCAGGCTAGTCTTGAACTCCCGACATCAAGTGATCATCCACCTCGGCCTCCTAAAGTGCCAGGATTACAGGCATGAGCCAACATGCCTGGCCCAGCTTTATAACTTTAAAATATCAGTAATAATATGTATTTGAGTAACATAAATGTATGTGAAGTGTTAACTCACTACATGGGACATAGTTAATGCTCATTAATGACATATATAATGTATATTATTATATAAAATAATAGCATATTATAGTTATTATAATATATTTATTTTATACAGAATATATTGTTTATAATACATTATTTCAATTATTGTTAGATTATAATTGTTTCATCATAATAATTGTTAATATATTTTAAAAGTGACTATTAATACTGACTTAACGCATATAAATGTGTACCAAGCACTTGTGACTGGCGATGGAGAAATAAAAGTAAATCACAGTTCTTTTCTTTGCAACATTAGATTAATTGGATGTATTTTTCTATTTGTGTACACATACATATATCCTTAAGCATGGGGGAAGGGAGACAGATAAACAGGCACTTAACAAGAGGACATTATGCAAGATGCTGTATTTGACCTATAACAGGTATACGGAAATTCAGAAAGAGACTTTGATTCTAAAATTCTAGACCAAGGACATCTTCAAAGTGAAGATAATTAAGTGGAACTTCAACCACACACAGGAATTTTTTTAGGCAGAGATAGTGGGAAGGAGATATCAGCATGAGCAATGGCTAGAGGTATGAATAGGCGTGGCATGTTTAGGAAACTAAGAGCATGTATTAGTTTTCAGTTGCTTCATGGAGTAATCACCACAAATTTATTTCATTCTATTTTATTTTAGAGATAGGGTCTTGCTATATTGCCCAGGCTGGCTTCAAAATCCTGGGCGCAAGTGATCCTCCTGCCTCAGCCTCCCAAGTAGCTTGGATTAAAGGCATGGACAGCCAACTTGGCTCACTACAACTTTAGCAGCTTAAAGCAAGATACATTTTAAAAAAAATGTTTATTCTCATGTTTCCATGGGCCAGGTATCTGGGCATGGTTTAACTAGCCCCTCAGGTCATGATCTCCCAAGGCTAGAATCAACAGGCCAAGACTGACAATAACTGAATTTTTGCTAAGAGATTTGAACAATTATTTTCTAGAAACTGACTATCACTGAGAATGTTTAAGCAGGTAAAATCCTTAAGTAAGAGGACCTGACACTACCTTTTGAGATGCACTCTCATCTGGAGGCTGGACTGAGGAAGAATCCATTTCCAAGCTTATTTGGGTTGTTGGAGGAATTTATTTTCTGTGGCTGTTTGACTGTGGCCCCCATTTTCTTGCTGGTTATTGGCCAGGAGCTACTGTCCACTCCTTGACACGGCTCACATTCCTTGCCAAGCGGCCTTTTTTGTTGGCCCTCTCACAATATGGCAGCTTCCTTCTTCAGAGCCAAAAGGGAGAGTCTCTCTCCAGTCTGGTGGATGGAACCTTCTATAATGTAACATAACAATTAAGGTGACTTCACATCACTTTTGCCATGTAACACAATCCAATGAAAGCTCAGACATCCCATCATAGTTGCTATATCTTGTTGGTTAAAAGCAACTCACAGATTTACCCTCACTCAATAAGAGGTAATTATATGAAAGCATGGATCATTTGAAATAATCTTGAAATATGTTCACTGCAGAGCAATTCAACTGTAAAGTTTGAGAAGAATTGGTTATGAGACTAGAGAAAAAACAAACAGAAGCCATATTATGGAAGGTCTTGCATTTTTACTAAGAGATTCGAACATTATTTTCTAGGAAACTGAGTATCCCTGAGAATGTTTAAGCAGGGAAAGTGACATAGCTGTATCTGTGTTTGGGAAAGATGACACTGCAGAGAAAATGAAGAATGAATTGGAGCAGGGATAAAGGAGAGGCAAAGAGAGAAAGTAAAAAGCAGGGGTCCATACAGCATATACTGAGCCTAAATATCACAAAACCTTCATATTTAATAAATAATATTTCCTTTAGATGTTTATATTTTATATTAAAGTAGAATATTACTGATATATTGAAAACATTTTACTTAATAAAGACAAAGTTTAGAATTATTTGAACATTCTGGCTCTGCATGAGTTCCCTTTGGCTCTGAATATCAGCAGTACACATATTGAATCCATTTGTATTTCCTGTCGTTAAACTTGGGAAATTATTTTGCAACTGAAGATACTTTACCTTCGAAATTCAGGATTAAACACAAATATTGTACGTGAATTGCCACATTGCTCCTTTAATTCAGGTAACATTTCATTTTCCCTTCAAAGGCTAATGTTCTTTTGTTTTGCATATGCTGTGAGGCCTAATGCTGACAGCAAAGTTGAATACTAAAACCATCTGTCAGGACCCAGGGGATTTTGCCATTATTCACTGCTTCCTCATGGTGTAAGGTCAATAATACAACAAGATATATTTCAATAAATATGCAGTGAGAAGATAAATTGTCTCAAAGTAGCAACTACCAGCTGTCAATACAATTAATGACAAAAGAGCAGAGAAGTGGCCTTGAGGGAATACAGACCCATTTGGGAATTGATTTCCTTGCGTTCTGAGCTTTATTCTGCAGAATGTCTTTTAGCAGAAAAGAAACACGTGTTAAAAGCAGAATCTTTTAAAAGTATTGTCATTCCACACAAGATCTCTCAAACACCATTGTTACAGAATCTATGTATGTTTTGTTATTGACTGATAGAATTACAGAATGGGATATATATATATATTTCTACAAATAGAAAAATAACTCGTTGTGTTAAAAGGAAGAAAGAAAAGAAAAATGTCTTCTGCCATCTGTGGTACTTGCTACAGGTATAGTATACTGTCACTGGAGAATTGACTGCTGAGATAATTAATTCTGGATGGACAAAGTTAAGTTTAATGGCTTTCAAGAGTAAGGAAGCAGGGTGAAACTTATGTCACAAGCCACATTATATATACAGTTTTTGTCCAGAGATGCAAAAATATATTGCATTATTTCGAGGTAGATTCACGTTTCTAAGAAGAAATAATGAAAAAAAATCTAAGGTTAAACAATTATACACCTTGTCCATCTTAAATATTAACAATGTAATGATGTCTTAATCCCTTTTTTAAACTTTTCCTTGAGTATAATTAGTATTCATGGTGCAATCCCACATATTTTCCCTTCTTAGGAAAAATTGTAAGCAAATACTTTGTTTTTCTCCATTCTTTTTTACAAATAATAGTTCATTTGTCTTCAGTGACTAACAATTTAGAAAGAATGAACATACCTCAGTAAGGTATTTAGAAGTCGCATGGTACATCTGACTACAAATGTGATTTGTTTAGTCATTAATAGGGATAATTTTAGGGTCTCCTGAAATTATACTTTGTCTAGGCCACTATTCCCTAAGTTTTGGTTTCATAATGACAAATAAAAATTAAAACAAAAGGCTTAATTTTCCCTATTGAAAATAAGGGAAGAGGCCAGGTGCAGTGGCTCATGCCTGCAATCCCAGCACTTTGGGAGGCTGAGGAGGGTGGATCACGAGGTCAGGAGTTCAAGACCAGCCTGGCCAATAAGGTAATACCCTGTCTCTACTAAAAATACAAAAATTAGCCGGGCATGGTGGCGTGCACCTGTAGTCCCAGCTGCTCGCAAGGCTGAGGCAGGAGAATCACTTGAACCCAGGAGGCGTACATTGCAGTGAGCCAAGATCACGCCATTGCACTCCAGCCTTGGTGATAGAGCAAGACTCCATCTAAAAAAAAAAAAAAAAAAAAAAAAAAAAAGAAGAATGAAAGAAAGAAGAAAATAAGGGAAGACTCCAGGTATGGTGGCTTATGCCTGTAATCCCAGTACTTCAGGAGACTGAGGCAGGCAGATCACTTGAGGTCAGGAGTTTGAGACAAGCTGGCCAACATGGTGAAACCCCGTCTCTATTAAAAATACAAAAATTAGCTGGGCAATGGTGGCAGGCACCTGTAATCCCAGCTATTTAGGAGGCTGAGGCAGGAGAATTGCTTGAACCAGGGAGGTGGAGGTTGCAGTGAGCAGAGATCATGCCATTGCACTCCAGCCTGGGCGGCAAGAGCAAACTCCATCTCAAAAAAAAAAATAAAAAAGAAAATTTACTTAAACAATTTGTAATTACAAGTACTTTCTTCTCTTCTTTGAAAATGACATAGGTCTTTTGACAGTGTTGTGACCTAGGAATATCTTTCTCAAGGTCATGGGAGCCATGTCTTTAAAATATAAACATCAGAAAGATAGCACCCTCATCTCCCTATTTCTGTGGCAAGATAGGAGTCTAACTTCAGTGTGCACCTTGATTCAAATTATAAAACTACATTCTTTCATAAAAATGTGAGAAGTTTGTTTTTCTTTGGAATAAAGTCAATTAGCTAACACAGAGGGCGATTCCAATTGCCATATAAAGTTATGAGCTGTGTGTAACAAAAAGTGGTGTTGAGTCGTCTTACTTGAAGATTAGTTATTAATCTTGGAAACATATATGTAAAGAGTTGTTTCTACTTAACTATATAAAAGTCTGAGATTTCTCTTTCCAATATTTTAGCAGAGATATTGTACCTTATCTTGCTTATGATACAAATCACATGCTCTTTAATTCTTATTAAATAATGCAACTGTCTTTTGTCTGTACTATCTTTGTAGAGAGGTCTTTGAAGCGGGGATATTTTTTTTTAACTATATTTGACTCAACAGATTCTTCCTTTTTACAAGCTGAATGCATTAAACAGAAGGGTTGTTTACAAGTGGGATGTCTTTGCTTGCAATTCACTGAATATGTCATGAAAATTTGCACTTTGTTGTTTGCTGGTCCATTCCTGCCAGTACATCTGTTTTGAATATTCTAGTCATATAAATGATAGTGCTTGCTAAAAAACTGTAAGGAACATAATGTCAATCTTTACTACTAATCAAAGTTACTACGTATTGTGGATTCTGTAAAAAAAATCTCTTATGTTTTCCATGTGTATTCTAGCTTATCTGAAGGTTTTCATGATATTTGTTAGTTTCATAATTTCAACGCGTTCAAACATAAACTTTAGAAGAAACTATATGGTCGTAGTCTGCGAATGTGAGGTAAATGAGGGTATTCACAGCAAATCTTACTCTCTTGTATGACACGTATATTGTTAAAATGTCCTCCTGGAATACCATGTAATGGTTGAACATCCTTTGGTTCTGCTGAAAATAATGTGCTGTTTTTAATGGAGTAGGTAAAATGACGTAATGTTTAAAAACAGGGCTTCTGGAGTCAGATTTTCTAACTCAAAATCCTAGCTCTATTCTATGTTTACCTGCGTGAATACTGATGAATTGCTTAGCCTCTAGGCTTCTGCTTCTTCATTAATGAAACAGAAATATGTCTTAAGTCAAGCTCCTTATATGGAGACTGTCTTGTGGATATTTGCTTGGAGCTTTATTGGGGACTACTCAGAAGAACAATACCTATAAGGAAGTGAAGGAAGCAGAGTTGTAGGGTCTTTCTTAGGTGGAGCATTAACTTCTGTGAGGCAATCTCTTTGGCTTCAGATCAAGTTCCAACGGTGACAGACTCAGGTGAAGTCTTTAACAGGTAATACTTCCAGCAGCTGGGGAAATAAATGCTTTGGTCCAGGAAAGGGACAGAAAGCAGATCCATCCAGACAGCTTAATGCAGAATCGACTACTAAAAGATATTAGTACCTATTACATTTGTTTTTTATTTTCTTTGTTATTTATTTGTATTTTTCATTTTTTGTTTTTCAGAGACAGCATCTCACTCTGTCACCCAGGCTGGAGTGCAATGGCACAGTCATGGCTCACAGCAGCCTCAAACACCTGGGCTCAAGCTATCTGCCTCTCTTAGCCTCCTGAATAGCTGGGACTACAGGGACACACCACCATGACCTGCCAATTGAAAAAAAAAAATTGTAGAGACAGGGGTCTCACTATGTTGCTCAGGCTGGTCTCCAACTCCTGGCCTTAAGTGATCTTTCCACTTCATCTTCCCAAAGTACTGAGATTACAGATATGAGCTACCTTACCCAACCTACATTTGTTGTTTTAAAATTTAAAAGAACTCATCAATGTAAGTCCTTAGAATAGCAGCTCATCCACAGAAAATGTACTGAAAATGTTAGCTTGTATTAAAAACTAAATAATTTTCTAGTTCTAGGTTACTTATTTAGGTTGAAATATACTCTTAGCTTATGAGATCTTCTAATATACAGTGCTCTTTCTAGCAAATTTTCTCTGAGAATAACTTTTTGGTTAAATAAAAAATTCATCCAAACCATCACTGGCATCATTTGTATGAACATTTTTATACTCTACATGAATTTTTCAGGTTCTGACCAAAATTGTTGCAGAAATTTTCAAATTCTGATAAAAATTAATTAAATAGTTAGGATAGAATGGAATAAAATATTAATGTTGATGTTCCTGTATTAATAATAATTTACTATGTTGATATTTGCCCTTTCCATAAAGGTGGGATTACAGTGCAGATTTTATTAGTTGAGAAAACACTATTTATTGCTTTATTCTCCATCAATAGAGTCAATATGAGAGGCATTATACTCATTTTAATTTCTCTTTTGGAATTGCCCATATGGTCACTTTCCCAGGCATAAACATGCAAAACCTAAGGTCAATATTCAATAAGACTTAATTTCAGACATAAAGTAAAATTTCTTATCTTAATTACAACAGTAATTTTCATTGTGCTTAACAAATATTTTTATTATATAGGTTAATATCAAATACATTCACTAGAATCTAAATTTGATACAATGTTATCTTTACATCCATATTAAATGGAAGTTAGCATAGTGTGATGATGCTGAGTCTTATGAATTTGGTTTAAAATTCTTACTTTGCCAGTGAGCCGAGATCATGCCATTGCACTCCAGCCTGGGAAACAGGGCAAGACTCCATCTCAAAACAACAACAACAGCAACAACAGCAAAAAACAAAACAAAAACAACAGCAACAAAAAAACTTCTTACTTTGCTACTTATGTAGTATATGAGATCTTGAGCAATTAAACCTCTCTATGTCCAACTTTCCTTATCTATGAAAAGGATATAAATCAGGAGTGTGGCTGGAAGTAGGGAGAAATACATAAATGAAGCACAGAGAATTAATAGGGCAATGAAATTACTGTATAATCCTTCTGTATTGATGAACACATGTCGTTGTACATTTGTCCAAAACCATAGTGTGTACAACACCATAAATGAACCCTAATGTAAACTATGGACTTTGGGTAATTATATATCAATGTAGTTTCATCAAGTATAACAAATGCACCACTCTGGAGGGGGATGTTAATAATGGGGGAGGCTAAGCATGTGTAGGGGCAGAGGACATATATGGAATCTTTGTACCTTTCTCTCTCAATTTTGCTTGAACATAAAACTACTCTTCAAAAAAGTCTTCTTAGAAAGGGCATGAAATACCGTTTATTTTATTTTATTGGGAAGATTTATTTTATTGGAAAGATACTATGAGGTGGTGAACTTAAATAAATCAATCAAAATGGTATATTTAATATAGAGTTCCATAAGTAGTAATTGGTTTTATTAATAGATATTATGGTGACCTAAGCCCTGAAGGGAATTTTAAGAGGAATTCTAGAAATTTTTTTTAGTAAGGAAAATATTATTAAACTAACTGTTTATTCTCTGAAAGTGACTGTTTTGAAGAGAAAGACATTCATCCAAAGATATACATATTGAGTTATTAAGATATTATAATACTTAGTTAAAGTCATAATTACTATTAAAGTGGCTTGTCCTCTGAGGGCTAGGTTTTACCTAGAGGAAATAAATCCAATTTGAGACTGGGCAAACTTTAAGATAATTGCACAAGTTTCTTACTTAAAAAAACAATTGTCTTTTCCTGCATGTTCCTGAGGTAGAAGAAATTCCCCCGTACTAATTAGTCTTAACCAGCCTATCAAATACCTCACATTTATAAAAATATCAATATATAGTAAGGGCTAACTCTATAAAAATCACTTAAGAAATATGGTATCAATTTCAAAACTATGACATAATGTAAACATATTTGAAGATAATCTAAATCGTGTTTAGTTCCTTTGAAGTGATTTTTCCAGGCCATTGTTAAATTCACTTTAGATTGTTTACTTCGTTTTGTTCATGGAGACTTCCGTAACAGCCCTTCAAGAAAGATTTTGATTAAAATTCCTTTTTAGAAAAATCACAAGCATAAGTATTAACAAACGATGACAGCCCCACCCAGAACCCTGGAAAAAGGTGGGTCAAGTGAGAATGCTGGAAGTCGAAAGTTTATTAGCTTTTTATTACACTCTCTGCCTATTTATTTTCCTCCTTACCCAGCCTAAAATCCATAGTCAATAATTATTATAATTGCCTTATAAATATCCCTTTTCTTTTCTCTTGCTTCATAATATTAATTTGGCCAAGCCATAACCTTGGTATATTTAGTTCTATCTACTCCCACCGAGATGAACAGGTCTGAAGAAAACCACATTAGCATACTGATTAGTCTCACTTTAAAGTCATAATTTTGTGATTTAAGTTAGCCCTTAGTACTGCCTGGAATCACACAGTATTTTCCTAGTTCATTGACTACCTTCCTCTCCTAGACAGCAATTTCATACATTCTCTTTCCTCCTCAACCCTGTAGTACCTCACGTCTTCACTCACAGCTGACCTAGCTTTCTCCTTTATTAAGAATACAGAAAACATTAGACGAGCTCCAAAAATATTCAGTGACTTACCAGCATCTGTACCCATACTTCTACCTTTCCTCCCTGTTACCATGGGAAACTTGTTCCTAGGCAAAGTGTAATGGCCCCATGTGGGAATAGCGTTCCATCTTTTTTTTTAAACCTATTCAAGGTCCAAACTCCAACAATTGCCCCTTAATTCTATAATATCAGCTTTTACTGTATCTGCAGTTTATGACTCAGATACTGACTTCGTCCTAGATTCCAGACACTCATTTCCAGCTATCTACTCAAAGTCCCTGCTTGGAAGAGTAATAGCCATTTAAATTTTATCACCATTTTCCCTCCTCAAAATTTCTACCTAATGCAATATCCCCATCTCTGTTAGGGCAACACCATTTTTCTAAAAGCTCAAGGCTAAATGCTGAAAGTTGGCTGAGAGTGTCTTTCTCTTCCAAAGCATACCCAGTCATTTAGGACATCTTACTGGCCTCATCTTCAAACTGTACTCAGAATTAAACTGATTACCACCATCTTCACTGCTATAATCCTAGTTTACACATCTCTCTCTTGGATTCATGCAATAGTCTGCTCATACCTCCCTTTTCTAACTTCTGCCTATTTTATTTTATTTGTACAAGTGAGTCAGTTTGGTGGCACATGCCTGTAGTCCCAGCTACTTGAGAGGATGAGGCAGGAGGATCCCTTCAGTTGAAAAGTTCCAGTCTAGCCCGGGCAGCAAAGTGAGACTCCCATCTCATTAAAAATAATGAAATAAAATAATGTAAAAATCAGGTCATGCCATTTCACTGCTTAAAATGCTCTACTGTCTGCCTATTTTTTCAAGAGAGAAAAATAATTAAAAAAAAAAACATAACCCAAACAATTATCTACAAGAGCCTAGACAATATGAACCCAATACCTTTCAGAGATATGCCCTATTTTCCCCCTTATTCTATCTCATCCCCTCAGGCTTTGTTCTCTGTGTCAGATACCTTCCATTTCGAGGCCTTTGCACTTGCTGTTTGTTTTTTTGTCTGAAAATATTTTCCTTCAGATATTCATTCCCTTGTTTTCTTTATCTTTTTTGCTCAAATATAACCTTCTCTGACAATTTTCTTTAAAATCCTACAGTCAGACTTTTCTTCTCCCCTTTCCCAGGTTGGTATTCCTCCATAACAAGCTTATCACCATGTAAGATGCCACATATTATTATTACTATTGTTTCTTTATTGTCTGTCTCCACTCATTCGATTATAAATTCCATGCAGGCAGACATTTCTGTCTGTTTCCTTCATTGCAGTTTCTATAGCATTTAGAATTTTGTTTGGAGAATATCTGACACCCAGTAGTTTTTAAATGAGTGAATGAATAAAGATTAAGTGAATCTGAATATGACACTTTACATATGAAAAGAAGTTTAAAAGGCTAACTTAATGACTGAAAGAAAAATGTTAGCAAAGATGGATGAAAAAATAAAGTTAGATGCTTACTGCATACCAACACCAAATTTAATCCTAGATGGATTAAAGAGCTTACTGTTTTTAAAAATTTAAAAAGCTAGACAAAATTAAAAAGATATTGTCTATCACATTTCTGACTGGCTCAGGATTTTCTACACATAAAAGCAAAAGAAGAAATTTGAAATTAAAAAATATTTTAAAGCCATGGAAAATATAATGTAGAAAAATATTGATAGACATGACTACCTCTGGATATCCATAAAGAACTTAACCAAAATTTAAAACTAAACTTTTAAAACAAATAAGATAGGTGAGTTTTTAATAATCTTAAGGGAAATACTAAAAGAAGAAACAAAGTGAATGAATATAGGAGATTAATAGAAAATTCAGAAACCGGTATTTATGACTCCTGAAAGAAGGGTGTGGGCTGAATGTTAACTTTTGCCATTGTTCTAGGAAAACACATTTGCCACATCATTAATAGCCTGTTTTGCTGTACATTTCTGTAGTGAGTTGAATGTTGCCCCCCCAGCTCAGGCCCTGAAACTGATAGGTCTAACTTGATAAATCTGTGAATGTGACCTTATTTGCAAAAACTTATCTGCAGATATAATTAACGTAAGGATCCTAAAGTGAGATAATCCTGGATTAGTGCGGGCCTAAAATCCAGTGATAAGTGTCATAAAAAGAAATGAGATTTGAAAGGACACACAGAGGAGAAAATGAGGTGAAGATGGAAGTAGAAACTGAATTTATGCAAAACACAAGCCAAGGAACAGCTCAAGCCACTAGAAGCTGGGAGAGGCAAGAAGGGATTCCTCACTAGAGCTTTCAGAGGGAGCATGGCCCTGTTGACACCTTGATTTCAGACATCAGGCCTCCAGAACTAAAAGAAAATAAATTTATGTTGATTTAAGCCACCCAATTTGTAGTTATTTCTTATGGTGAACATAGGAAACAAATACATCATCCCAGACCTGACTGGATCAGAAAACAAAACAAAGCATATTCATACACATACACACAGGCACACACACACACATACACAGAAACATACACTTTTTATAATCTGAAGTGAAAAATGGGACCAAATTGTTTCAACTAGAATTACAGTTTTTCAAGAGAATTTCATTATTTTTCGGTATGTTTGCTGGTAACATACCGAAAAATATGTATTGCCAGACAATTTTCCTTGGGTCTTTTACGTTTCTGCACATTTTGTGTGTAAGCCATTTCAACTACCTTTTCAAAGATAGTTGAATACTCAGCAGCTTTGAAAAGTAGAGATAATGCCACCTGCTAGAAGAAAGAACAAGCATGTTTACCACTCATTAGGAAATATTGGGTTCCTAAGCTCAGAGTTCCTTCTCTATAATTAACCTCCTGTGTGTGCAAGTGTCATCTGTCATCTGGACCTCTTCATGTGGCCCTGTGGTACCTGAGGCTTGTGACAACAGCACAAATAGTGATGCTGCTACTGCAATTGCCATGAGTAGTGAATTGTCCATCTGTGATCCAGGAGTCTCATACCTTCTACCAGAATCCATAAAACTGTGGCAGGCTGACTGGTTAGCATACAAGTAGTATAAAATCTCAACAATTTGCGCTGTTTTTCAGATAGTCTCCACTGTGTGTATGATTGTCAAGCATGCAACTCTGGCCTTTGTCTGTCACCTGAGTTCATAGCCAACACTTGTAACAGCCAGCTGGGCATCATTCTCCAGTGTGCTCATGACATCTCATATTGAATATGTTCCAAAATTGAACTTAAATTTTTGCTTTCAACTCCTTTTTATCCTATTTTTGAAACCTCAGTTAATATGATCATCATTTTCACAACTTGAATAGTACATCACTCTTCCTTCTTCTGCTTCAATAAAATCAGCTAATATTTCCTGTCAATTTTACTCTCAAAATTGCTTGCACATACTCCTGTCTGCATATTTTCTCTACTTTTGTGTTGGTCTGAGTCATTTGAGAAAAATATGCGAAGACGGGGTTAAACATGCAAGAATTTGTTTAGGAGAAAAACCCATGTGAGAGAAAATGGGAAGAGATCCAGAACAACTGGGAGAGCCATTGGACCACGATGTAAGATTGTTCTTGAATGAAAGAGAAAAGAAATAAAGATTGAATGGGAACTCCTGAAAATACCATGGAGTCTGAGGGATGTTGAGCAAGCCATGGGGGATTCTCAAGGCTAAACCAACTCTCAGAGGATATTCATGTCTCTTAGAAATGATCCTGTCTTTGTATTCCTGCTTTGAAGTGAATATTTCTGAAGGCAGTCCAGGAGAAACATAGATAAAGATTGGTATAAACCCCATAATGGTGTCCTAGGTTAATCACTTTTCCCTTGTATAGAGATCTATGAAAATACTTTCTCTCAGTTGCCACAGTACTCATGCAAATTCTTATGTCTTAATAATAGTAATAATATTTGGCATTATTTAGAAATTCCCTGGGTTAATTTGTCCTGAACTTTATTGCTAGAATTATGCTCCTGGAGTACAAATCTGACCATTTGGAAGGAACTATCAAAATTTTCTTATTCCCTAATTCTATCCCTTATTGTCCCATACCTTTAAAAGAATATGCCTACTTCATCATTCTAAGCAAGAATATCCTGAGCTCTGCTTCCAAACTCAGTGAGTTAATTAGACGTAGCAATACAATTTTGGTACTTTTTCCTGATGTTTGGTGAATTAAGCAAAACTTGGTAAGTATTAGGGTTAGGGTTAGGCGTTTTCATGGGCAATTTCCTCTGCCTGGCATTAAAAATTTCTTTGTTAGGGCCCCAAGCTCTTCTCACCTTATTTTCTTCTCCATTTCTCTCAGGCTTTTTTCTTTGGATGTTAAAATCTCTGCAATGGAATGCCTGACAACTTAATTAGATCTGCAGACAGTCCTGACGACAAATCTGGTACTTCTTGGAGCGATGGAACTCACATTTATAGAGCTTGGGACTTGAAAATACATGGGATTACTCATACATTCTCATGGTTTCTGCCAATAATCAAATATTCATTAATAAAAATGTATACTTTTCATGAATTTTATGTGGGTCATACTTATAGATTTTGCTCACATTTATTAAAGTTGATAGATAGATAGATAATATATATAATAGCACTGTACATTTGCAGATTTTTTGTTTTTTTCTTTTAGAATTTTCCTTTTTCTCTGGTATTTAATTTTATACGTTCTGTTTTATCAAAATCTTAATTGCCCTAATTCACTATCTATAGAATTAAAAAATAAATGCAATGGTATTCTGTGTTTTCAAATTTTGGTTATAATTTTGTTAAAAATTAAATTAAATGTAAAGGTAAATAAAATTAGTTGTTTTATTTATATTTTCAAAACAGTATTTTTGCCAAAATATTCAAAATCACATTTTAAAGTTAAAATATATAAATTCCAACTAAATAACCAAATAAAATTAAATAAATAATTTTAAAACCATTGTTTTATTTAATTTTTGACATTTCAATTAAACCTTATTAAATATTTTCCTAAAAATTTAACTTTTTAATTTAATAAACATTATTTTGCTAAAGTAAAAATTGGTACTATACTTTATTATGGGTAAATGTATGTGTCAACATGACTGGGTCATGAGGTACCCAAATATTTGATGAAACATTATTCTGAGTGTTTCCGTGAGGGTATTTCTGAATGAGGTTAATATAGGAAACAGTAAACTGTAAAACAGACTGCTCTCCCTAAGGTGGGTAGTCCTCAATCAATCAATTGCAGGCCTGAATAGAACAAAAAGGCTGACTTTCTTCTGAGCAAGAGAGACTCCTTTTTGCCTAAGCTCCTTTGAACTGGGCCATCAGCTTTTTCTTGCCCTGAGACTCAACTGCAACATTGGCTCATCCTGGGTTTTCAGCCTGCTGGCCTTTAGACCGAAACTCCACCATTGGCTTTCCTCCGTCTCCAGGTTGCCCACTCACCCTGCAGGCCTTGTGAATTGTCAGTAATATGGTTTGACTGTGTCACCACCCAAATTTCATCTTGAATTCCCAGGTGTTGTGGGAGGGACCGGGTGGGAGGTAATTGAGTCATGGAGGTGGGACTTTCCCATGCTATTCTTGTGATAGTGAATAAGTCTCATGAGATCTGATGACTTATAAGGAGGAGTTTCCTCTCACAAGCGCTCTCTCTCTCTCTCTCTTTGCCTGCTGCCATTCATGTAAGATGTGATTTGCTCCTCCTTGCCTTCCACCGTGATTGTGAGGCCTCCCCAGCCATGTGGAACGGCAAGTCCATTAAATCTCTTTTTCTTCCCAGTCTTGGGTATATCTTTATCAGTGGTGTGAAAATGGACCAATACAGTCATGCTGTATAATTATGTGAGCCAATTCCTTATAATACATCTCTTTATATATAAACATATATTTACATGTATAAATGTGTAAATATTTATATTTATAGTATAAACTATAAGTATATTTAATACTATATGTAATACTATAAATATAAATACACATTTAATATTTAATACTATAGTACATTTAGTTTACTATACTATAGTATATTTAATACTATAACTATAAATACACATTTATACATATAAATATATAATATATATTTATTATATATTTTTACAATAAATATATATTATATATTATACTATTAAATTACAAATTATAATATTAAACCATTGTTTTATTTAATTTTTGACATTTTAATTAAATCTTATTAAATATTTTCCAAAAAATTTAACTTTATAATTTAATAAACATTATTTTGCCAAAGTAAAATTGGTATTATACTTTATAATTTATAATATAATATATATTATATATTACATTATTAAATATATAATATATATTGTATATTTACATATAACATATATAACTAATAAACATGTTAGTTATAATCCATGCATATTATGTCTAAATTATTGTATATATTCACATACATAGACACACATTTAATAATACAATGAATTTGTTATTATTGGGCCCATTTCCTCAGCCACTGCATGCCATTATGACTTCTATGCTATGAGTAATATGAGTACTTCTGGTTCACTAATTGAAGCACCAACAAAAATGAGAAAGCAGATGCTGGAAACTACTGAGAAACTATACTGAATTATGGAAGAATCAATCACATCCTTTCTATCTGAGAGAAAGAATTTGGCAAATTAATTAATTTGTCTTTTATCTGAGTGCTTCCATTATGTAATTCCTTTCTGCAATGAAAAATATTATTTGTCTTTAACACTGACATCAGCACCACCTGCAAATCTTCATGACACTCAGATGTACCTGTGTTTTTTTTATGAAGACTTAGAACAAGATATATGGAAAAACATTCCTTTGGACTTTAACAATGTAAATCGCAAGAGTCGGCATGTAGATTTTATGTGAATGTTGGCTTGTGAGCCCCAAGTGACTTAGCTGTGTGTGTGCATGAGTTTATATGCTCATGATTTCTGAAGCCCTTAAAAATGATAAGTATAAATCAGACCTCCCTCTTGCCTGGCTGTCAAAATTGTAATGATAGAATTAGCCAATACATTTACCAGCTTGTGTTGGAGTTTAATGTTAACTTTAGTGTTAAACTGTATATTTTTCCCATAGAAGAAAAAGTAGACCTATTTGGGGTAGACACAGGTAATCTTTGTGCTTCAATAGTGAGCAACATACATGATTTATATCATGTGTTTACCACAATGTAATGATGTATACTCACATGTTAAAGTGATAATTACTCAATGAGTTTGTGATAAGGACTATATAGTAAAGCCGTAAGGTTCAAAACACAATTTAATTTATATGGCATGAATCACTGCTATGACTGAGAAGGTGAGTTATGATGAAGGTTAACTTTCACTAAATACATATATTAATCTGAAAAAGGGGAATTTCCCAAAATAACAGGATTCCCTGTTTATGTAAAAATGGCCATATGTTATGAGAATGAATATTTAAGAACATATCTGAACAATGAATATGAGTTAGTCAGGGTTGAAGTCTTACATTTGAGCTTTATTGCCACATCGTTTGTATTTGGATCAAAAAAAATCGATGAGATCCTGAGTTAGAAATTATGGAGTGCATATCAATGAGAAGAGGGTCCAGAATAATATTAGTATTTCATAATCAAACAAACAAAACTGAGGTGCACTGGCCAGAAAACAGTTTGAATAGGATAATTAAAGCAGTTATTACAGAGTTTCTACTGCAAAGAAATTACTATATGTAATTACTATATATAATTGAATCATGACACATGTTTTCATATCTCTGTACCCTTCTAAAGTATTATTGTGCTCTGGAGTTTGGCAGTGCCAGCAAATGTTTAACCATACCACTAGGACAAAAAGGGATTCAAATGGGTTAATAAAACCTTTATTATTAACTTGGTAATCTTAGAATAATTTTTTCTGAGACAGAATCATCTTCAAATATCAACAAATAAGTACATTGGATAAAATAAACCATAGAACTACATCAATAATTTGGAAATGATGAGTCAAATATAACACATTTAACTGATGCTAGGGTTTAAGAAAGATCTACAAAATCTAAGAGGGGACAATGGCTCAATAGCATTGCATATGATTTAGATATTTAAATTTCTAATAAACTCAGTGTGAATCAACAGTAACAGATGGCTAGCAAATATGCTAATAGAATTTCAAAGTACTTTAATAGAAGTGTTACCTCTAGAATGAAGGCGATAATGTGTTTAGTTTTTAGAGTTTTAGACCAGCACATTAAAGGTATAGTGACAAAGTAGAAAACATTTAGAGGACAATTTTATAGGAATAATGAAAGTACACAAAACCTAAGGATATTTACCTTGTAAAAGACAAAACTCACAGTTGTCTTTTACTATGTGAAAAAATATCTGGAAAAACTGGGTTAGAATTTCTCTGTAGGTCCTTCATTCTTTTTAGATAAGTTGGTCAGGAAAGAAAACTTTGAGTAAGTGGCATTTTATCAGAGATGTGAAGGAGGTGACGGATAGGGCAGAATAAAGAAATAGGAGAAATAAATCTGATATGAGGGAACAGAAATTGTACCGTCTTGAGGTCAGAATGAGAAAAATACTAAGATCATAGACCCATATATATGTGTCACATACAACATGTTTGCATATGCATACACTGATACATTTATCCATATATGCTCTTTAAAAAAATCATTTCACCAATAAGCAATCTAGAGACTTCTGTTAGGGAGGCATATTCAAAGCAGTAAAAAGATGACAGGAAACATTTTAGCAATGAAATCTCTTCAAACTAATCAGCGCTGCTTTCCTAAAGGGTGGTTCAGTGAAGGCAGTTAACCTTTTAAATTGTTTTTCCAGATTGTATCATTGAAAATAAATAATACTACATTATTTAACTGAAAGTAAGAGTTGTAATGACTGTTTTAAACTGTTTTCACATACATTTAGGCAAAATGATTTTGATTCAAGTTCATTTTGTATATGAAACAGAAAGACAAAATAATAAATGCAGTAAGGAGTTGACTCTTTAAAGAAAGGTTTTTTTCAGTTATCTGCAAATATTCTCCCAAGTTTATGGTAAATGTGCTTATCATTGACTGCTGAATTAACCCTGTTGTTAATATTGTCTTGCTTTCTTTGCTCCCAGAATATTACTTCAGAATATTTTTTTTTTGTGTGTGAGTTGCAATCATATTTCTTATAGTCCAAAATTGCTCTTTTATTGATTATAATTTCCTGAGGAGAGTCTTAAAGATTATGTCAGATCCCATCTCATGTGTGAGTATTGCACTTAATTTGATAAAATTTAAAAAGTTAAAGTTTATTAGATGTGATAATAGAAAGCAATTGTGTATACTAAAACAAACACTCAAACAAACGAAAAAAAGCTTTTCTCCATAAAATACAAATAAATCCTTAAAGTCATATGACCTTTTACAAGGCATATTTATATATATTTTAATTTAATCTTTAGATAAATAATTTAGTAGGATAAGTATTATGTATATTATTTTGAAAATTAGGGAACCAATTGATAAACTCAACAACTTTAAGTCAGTAGAAAAGTAAGAATTTCCAGCTCAGCATTGTATAAACTTTAGTTGACCAGTTTCCAAAAATATTTTGCTAAAAATCTCAATAAACTGATCAATTAAGAACAAAGAATGACCTCAGCAAACCAGGTGAATTTATAATAACATATATCAATTTCTACAGCATTCAATATTGTAAACTTTTGTATTTTTTAAAGCTATGTCTCTTTGGATTTTCAGACCCTGGATTCTAGTCATTTTCTTTTAATCTTTAATTTCACTTCCTTTTCCTGTTTCATCTTTTTATGCTTCGACACTCCATGTTCAACATGGTCTTTTCTTGTTTCTCTTTGCAGTCTACATACTTCCATTTCAGGATTTCAAATTTCTGTTTCCACAATTCACCTGGCTTACAAAGGTCCAGCCTTTTTTCTGAGCAGAATATATCATCTTGAATGTAGGCATAGCTGTGGAGGACAGGAATAAGAGATGCCTGGAAATGTTTACAAAAGCAACTTGTTGAAATGCAGGAAGAGAAGTAAACTAAAGTAAAAAGCAGCTTTGCCATCAAGAACAAAATATTTAAAATCTAAGGATTTGTGGTGAAACTGATTGACCTCTTCTGAGACCTCATTAACATATTTTTAAAATTCAAGCATAAATAGCTGAGAAAATTAACATGACATTATTCACAGTTGGAGAAGAAGAGAGAAACTGAAGAAAGCCTGTCAAGACCAAAGGGCATGAGGATACAAGTTCTGTGGTAACATGGAACTGTCTATTTAATTCACTGATCTAATGCTGACACTTACAGACATGCTAGCACACAGTAGTTGCTTAATAAATATTTATATAAATGATATATAAATAAAAGACTAGAAAGAAGGACTCTTACTGATAGTGCATATTATGGAGATTCTCAAAGACTTTTTCATTAATTTCTATTTTCTTCAAAATATAGTCAGTTTTCAAAATGACTAGTTTGGGAATGAACTTGTCCAGTGTGTTATTTCTTCCTTCCTCTAATTGAACATAACCATCTAGTTCTGTGACGACCTCAAAAACAAAATTGAATCTGGCAAGGGTAAATCTGAAAAAGAGAATTGAATGATAAATAACATGTGCTTTTACTTCTTGAGTGGATCAGGTTAGTATTGATTTTCTTCGTGTTTAAAGTAAAATGTTTTATGCCTCTTCGGGTTTATACTTTCCAGTTCATTAATTGTTGATGGAATACACTAAATACCAACCATAATTTTATTAGAGCATAGGTCTCCTGTTATTGATGGCAATTCTGAGATTATCAGAAAAAAAATGAAGTGTTTAGAAAAGACCAGTTAATAGTTATACCTAAGGGCTATTCAGGTGCAATTTTTTACAAGCTTGCTTTGACAACTAAATGTTTTTGTTTTTTTATATTGTACTTGTTATTAACTAAAATTATGACTTTGGCTTTTTTGAGACAAAAACATTTTGCTTTAGTGTAGTGCTATAATTGGCCTAGTTACAACACATGTGTGTTCTTTAGCTTGGAAACATGAAGAACCTAGTAATTCCACTTGTTATTTTTTATTTTATTTTATTTTTTATTTTTTAGACAAAGTCTCGCTCTGTCACCTGGGCTGTAGTGCAGTGGTGCGATCTTGGCTCACTGCAGCCTCCCAGGTTCAAGCGATTCTCCTGCCTCAGCCTCCTGAATAGCTGGGATTACAGGTGTGCACCACCACACCTGGCTAATTTTTGTATTTTTAGTAGAGACAGGGTTTCACTATGTTGGTCAGGCTGGTCTTTAACTCCTGACCTCAGGTGATCTGCCTGTCTTGGCCTCCCAAAGTGCTGAAATTGCAGGTATGAGCTACTGTGCCCAGCCCACTTGGTTTTATCCAAAGGCAAAAAGACATGTTCCTCAGAGGACACTGAATGCTAACAGAAGAAAAAAATTCATTTTGGTTTGATTGTTTTGTTAAATAACTGCCTCAAGTCTATATTGTGCACAAAGCTAGGGTTTCAGCTTCAGAAAACTATCATTAGGTAAAAAAAAATACACCTTTTTTTTTTGTAATTTTATATTTCCTGAAAACAGAGCCACAGGCAAGCAACTATAACATTCCAAATTACTAAAAGCACATATTTTCATTTTAAACAAACATTTTTTGAGAAAAATCTTTGGATTTTAATGGTTTTCCAGTTTTTGAAGTGTGAGGCAAAGTAGGAAATGTAAGAAGCCATGTTTGCTCTTTTCTGCTTGTACCCCTGACTCCATGACAATGTGCAGCTCTCCAGAACTTTGAAGACAAAACAGAATAGAGCACATGATTCCTCACATCTTTTCCCTGAGTCTCTCTATTCATTTGAAGATAATTGACCCATGTCATTGTCTTTTCCTACACATAAGATGTCTGACGGGATTGGTTATGCTTCTATAATGCATAGCCAGATGTATTCGTACACCTATACTTTGACGTACTTCTGCTTCAGTGTAACTTCTGAGCAAGTGTGATGTGATTTTACACATGCTGAGCCCCCACCACCTGTATATGAAGAGTGGGCTGAAATACTGTGCTGGAGTAGTCTTATAGAAGTGCTCCTGGGCTATAGGACTTGGTCTGTACTCCTCAGTAAGTCTTCTGAATAAAACCAACTTTAATTCTTTAAAAGCTTTTCAAAATTTCTTTCCTAGTTGGCAGAAGTTTTGTAGGAGGAGGACTTTAAACTAGATGGTAACCAAGGTGTATGCTGAAGGAAAAAGAGGGAAGACTTTAGAAAAAAAAAGTTCACTACTGTAGTTCTTTAAGCCACTAGAAATATAGTAATAATAATCTTAAATTCTACAAATCCCTGGGCTATGGGCTTGCACGAAGGGTGGGGTTAATCTCCACTCCCTGTACAGAACAGCCATGTTCATGCAGGGGAGTGTGGACAAGCCATAGAGATGTTTGTTTTGGGCTGAAGGAAGAGGTTATGCCCTGAAGTCACATTGGTGGTCGCCTTGGGATGGGCATTTTCTGAGGACCTCAGTTTCTTTGCAACCTGCAGATAGGGACAGTGTTTAACTAAACTGAAGGCCAGATGCCCCGCAATATTGAAAGGAGGTATAACACTCACCGCCAGGGTCTGCGGCTTCATTGTTGAAGTCAGCGAGACCAAGAACCCACCGGAAGGAAACAATTCTGGACACAATAAGAAAGCAGATTGCATTCCTGCTCACTCAGGATGAGGAGCTGGTGCAGCCCTTTCCCCACTCACTGCCATGGAGACCTTACTGCATTCCACCACAAGCTCTCCAAGGTACACTGTCAGGGCCATGCTTCTGCTCATCATCAGGGTATCTGGGGATGATTTTACTCTTACTTCTAAGTGCTTCCTACTAGACTGCAAAACCAAACAAAACACCCTACTGCCAGATAAGCTTCCTGAGACCTCCACCCTTCCATCTCTGGCAGAAGATAGTGACTCAGGTCACATGCCCAGTATATTGCCACAACAATCAGCATTCGAGAAGCCCCATTCAAAAGTTACCTAAAACCAAGGAACTCATACAGAGCATTGACCTTCTGAAAACACCCACAAACAAAGACAAACTATCATAAATAACATACATTACAGTCACACCCTCAAGGGAGAAAATAGTAGAAAAATTTAAAATCTCATCCAAATAAAAACAAATTCAAAAATAAGAAGTGACAGCATCTCCAGATGAGAAGGACTCAGAGTAAGAACTCCAGTTGTACAATAAGACAGAGTGTTTCAGCAACCCTAAAGGATGACACTGTTGCTATAGAATAGCAACGCATGATAACCAAAATGAAAACTCTGAAATGAGAGATAAATAATTAAAAATATGAATTGTAAGGAGGCTAGTAGAGATCCAAGAGAAAGTTAAAAACCAACACATAGAAATCAGAAAAACAATTCAGGATATGAAAGATGAGACAGATTTTATACACACACACATATGTATATGTGTTTGTGTATGCTTGTGTATTTTAAAAAATCAAATAGAATGTCTAGAAATAAAAAAATACTGAAGGAATTTGAAAATACAGTTGAAAACTTTAAATAGAGACTAAGTTGGGCATGGTGGCTCATGCCTGTAATTGTAGCACTTTGGGAGGCCGAGGCAGAAGGATTGTTTGAGTCTAGGATTTTGAAACTAGCCTGGGCAAGATATTGAGATCTCATCTCTACAAAAATATTTTAAAAATTAGCTGGGCCCAGTGGAATTCCTGTAGTCCAAGCTAGTCAGGATGCTAAAGAAAAGATTGCTTGAACCTGGCTATTTTTTTTTTAATTACAGAGATGCAATTTCACTATGTTGCCCAGGCTGGTCTTGAACTCCTGAGCTCAAGCGATACTCCTGCTTCAACCTCCAAAAGTATTGGGATTACAGATGTGAGTCACTACAGCCAGAACAAAAAAGATCTTAAAATCAGAAAGAGAGGAGTCAAGTCACCTATAAAGGAAATTCCATCAGACTAACAGCAGACTTCTCAGCAGAAACTTTATGAGCCAGAATATATTAAAGACCTATTTTCGGGCTTCTTAAAGAAAAGAAAAATGCCAGCCAAAATTTTTATATCTTTCCAAAGTAAACTTCATAAATGAAGGAGAAATAGAGTATTTAACATACAAGAAAATGCTAAGGGAATTTGATGAGCTAGAAAATGAAACCATTTTGCTTCAGTGAAGATAAAATTCTTAAAATATATAAAAGTTAGAAAATGAAACCGAAAGCACTGCCAAAAAAAACTTAGCATTAGGTTCATGATTATAAAATTGAGGTTATGGCTTCAGATCAAACCAAGGGTGTAGTCTTAAGACCCTTTGTTAAGACCTCTAAAGGATTTAAGTGGCCTTACTTGTCCAAAATATAGAAAGCTTGTCTGGAAAACAAAGAATGTGGCTTTTTATCAAATGAAGTGGTCTATTATCTGATACATAGAAAGCCCACAAAAACTTTTTAAAAGAGTTATATAAGTAAATGGGACCCAGCTTGCAATAAAGAGACTGAGAAAATTGAATAAAAGCCTCTGAACCTTCCATTTTCTATGGACAGCAAACAGATTGAGAAATAGACTCAGCTTTTGTTGCAGAAAAGTGAGAACATCTCAGAGGAGGAGCCTGGAGTCTAGAGGATAAAGTTAAGATCTGAGAAGACAAGAGGATGGATGAGGGAGTCACTGTAATTATACAGTAGAGAATAGTGAGCTGGAAACCACTTCCAGGAAGATAACTAGACCTTATCCCCAGGGAAGAGATCCTGGCAGCATTTGTCTAGGAGAATTTCATTATAGCAATGAACCAATGACTGCTTTGTGTCTCTCACTTACTTCCTCTGCAGTTATGTTGTTCCTCTCTCACCACTGTATGTTAGGAGTGTGTGTTTGTAGGGGGATAAATACAGATAACTTGCCTTACTCATAGGAGTCACCAGAGAAACATCATCTGCACACAGATTGATATAGACCATGGGATCCTACACTTCAAGTTTGATAGTGTAATTCAGAAAGATTTTTGAGGGTTCTGAGGTGGAAGTAAGCACATATTTTTTTGGAGGAGAAATGTGAACAATTGTGACCAGGAGTATTAGGATCTCAATACTTGAAGTCCTTTCATTAACAGATCGAATCTATTTATCCACCTCTTGAACCTGGATTAGCCATATGACTTGCTTTGGCCAAAGTTAGGTAGTCTTATGTAAGCAGGGGCTTAAAAAGTGCTTGTGTATGGAGATTTACACTTTGTGGCTTTTGAAGTCCTCCTTCCACTTTGTGAACAACCTGGTCTAGGCTCCTGCAAGAAAAGATTGCCCAAGATGTGGCCTTCCCACAGTAATCAGCCTCATGAAAACCTGGCAGTGAACTAGTGGACTGCAGGCACGAGTAACCTCAGGAGAACCTTAACAGTGGAACCAATCAAACTGAGCCCATATTTTCATCTACAATATCAAGACCTTAAAAATGGTATGTTTTGAGCAAAGATGTTTTGGAGTGGTTTGTTAATCAGCAAAAGCTAACTAATTCAGCACTACCCTGTGTTTCAATGCCAACATTTGGCTATGTTTTCTTCCAAAATTTTTTCTGCAAAAGAAACAAAACACGACAAATTAATCTAACGCAAGAATCCTTTTTTCTTCTCTACCAAGAAGTAACCACTATCAAGAATTTGCTTTGAATTACTTCCACCCACATTACATATTTAAGCTTTTACAAATACAAAATATTGTTTTATAGTTTTAAAAATTTACAAAAATGATATACAGTACACTTTTTTTAGTAAAGAAAATGAATATGCTTTGAAATTATAGTCATTCATTACTTATTTTTTTTGAACATTAAAAGGCAGTAATTCACAAACACAATGGTTGGTAGAAATCTGAGAAACAAAAATACGTGAAAAAATGTTCTCCTTGAACCACTACAATGATAGAGCAGCTAGAATCATCCTTTTTAAAAATATTACTCTTCTAATTAAAATTCTGTGTTTTTTTAATTTTACATAGAATAAAGATTAAAGTCCTTACAGTGACCTAGGATGCTCTTTGTCATCTTTCCTCTTCTTTTTACCTCTCTCACTTCAACTTCTACTATTTTTATTCTTCCTTACTCCAACAATAAATAATGGAAGCTTGCGCATAAATTGTCTAGCCCCCTACCATTGAAATGGGCAGTTCTGGGAGGCATTCTGTACATATCTTAAAATCTGGTGGAACCACATCCACATTGTTCACAGCAGTGACCTCAGTGATCTGTCTTTTAAAATAATCTTTGCTTCCCTCCCTAGCTCACTCTACCTGCTCCATCATTCACGCTTCCTTGAATTCCCTCCCATATAAATCTAATTTTGTTGTACAAGGTATCTATCTTGTCTTTGTCAATTTCATAGGTGAGACTATTGCAGATTCTATAAACAAGCCAGGAACAGGAATATATAATTAAGACTCACCAGACAATAAGGAGAGGCTATTTCTATTTCATGGAGTGACTTAGTAAGATATGAGAGCTCAGGGAACTTGGAATTACCTGAATCCTCCCAAAGCCCTCACTGAAATTTTTCATCTGACACCCTCCTACTCAATCCCTGAATTTGAATGCATCCTTCACTCTTTTTTTTCTCTAGCATCCCCTGTCAGATCTGCGTTAAAAACATATGCAGAATCTGACCATTTCTCATTGTCTTTATGGCAGACACCCTCATCAAAAACAAACAAACATAATTATCTCGCCCTTGGAATATTGCAATATAATCCTATCTATTTTTTTTAAAACCATGTCTCTATATAGACTGTGTTTTACATGACAGCAAGAATGACCAAACATAATTCAGATAATTTCAAACATCATTCTTACTCTTAACGATCTACAAAGTTTTTCCATCTTCATTAAAAATCAAATCCTTTACAGTCATTCCCCCTTTTACTTCACCTACATAATACTGATCCTGCTATCCCTCCAGCTTATTTTTTTATGCCTTACCTTCTGCTTACTAGGCTATAGATACACATAATATGCCAGACATATTTCCTTCTCAGCAACATTGTGCTCACAGTTTCCTCTATATAGAATGTTCTTCCCTCAATTTGCTGTGTGGCTTCATCCCTAACTCCCTTCAGCTTTCTGCTCCATCTTATCAAAGGGACATGAAAATGTTCTGCTCAGATTTTCTGCGCTGGGAAGTGTAATTGATGATCCCTACTGGTTCCATTACCTTATTTGGGTCAAGGTTATGTTTCCTGTGGACTGCTCTGAGGCAATGACTGATGATGGTGGGGGTTGAAAGGCTGGTCCACTCCTGAAGAAGAAAAAAACTCCTTAAACAGGTGACTTTGGCTCAGGGACTTCCTGTCTGCCTGTATGAAAATTTTAAAGAATTGCATTGCAGTGTAAGATTCTACCTGTTCAATTTTCTAACTTGGCCCTGTCCTTCATAGGTGGTCTCAAAGCTCTCTCCACCTTCTCGGACTGTGCCTCTTTATCCTTCACAGGTATTTCCCCCAATAAGTCCCTTACTCATGTAATCCCAACTTGGTGTGTGCTTTCGGAGGGAGGTGTGGGCATTCTCCAGACATCTTCAGTAAAACATTACCCCATCATTATCCAGTTTATTTAGCCTCGCTTCAGTTTTCTTTTCCTATCAGCAGAGATGTTAATTTTCGATTTATCCCTACCCCCTGCCTATAGAATGCAATATCTTTGAAGACAGAGGATTTATCTATTTTTTTATTTCTATAGCATAATATTTGTACTAGTGGCTTTCAAGTAGTTGGCTATAAATATCCACAGAATGAATAAGCACATGATAAAAGAGATCTAAAACAGCTGCAGATTCTGCCTATGTTGCAATACAATAATGGCAACGTCAGGTTCCATGTTGCTAAACAGTCCTGTTGCTAAATAATAGAAAAATAATTCTAATAATATCATAAAAACCTTTAGCTATCTGATAATGGCTGAGGTAATAACTTAAAACTTTGGACTGTTAAATTATTTTTAAACTCTCCTACACAGCTAGAATAGCCTACCCATTCTTCCCCAAACCCCCAGCATTTTTGATATCTATTAAAATGGTGTAAATAGTAATCAGCAACTCCGTCAAAATTGATTTTAATTTGCACTTCATTCCAAGTGACCACAGAGATGTCAATATTTCTTCAGTCTGTGCCACGGAATGCCAACATCCTTTTCTAATGCTAATGAATTCTTTACTGACTTCAAATTCCATCAGATAAATTGACCAATTTCAAGTACTCCCCTGACCCTCAACATTTTTTTTTTTTTTCTTAAAGTGCTAGATGCCTGAAACCACTGCTGAAGTAAATTACTATAGTGGTCATTCTTCCCACTATAAGTCAATAGACTCCACTCTCACAAGTTTTTATTCATTTATTTTGAGACAGAGTCTCATTCTGTCGCCCAGGCTGGAGTGCAGTGGCAGGATCTTGGCTCACTGCAAACTCCGCCACCCGGGTTCAATAGATTCTTCTACCTCAGTCTCCTGAGTAGCTTGGATTAAAGGAGTGAGCCACCACGCCCAGCTAATTTTTGTATTTTTAGTAGAGACGGGGTTTTGTCATGTTGGCCAGACTGGTCTCTAACTCCTGACCTCAAGTGATCCGCCCTCCTCGGCCTCCCAAAGTGCTAGATTGCAGGCGTGAGCCATCGCGCCCGTCACATGCTCACAAGTTTAAACAGGAAGGATTTATTAAGATATTAATAAGCTTCCAGGAACAACTCTCAGACAACATCACAGAACTAGGTGGTTAAGCAACTAATACTGTGGATCCCACTGCTTCAGTCACAATTAGGAAAGAAACACCATCATTGCTAACCTCATACATTCACTGCTTGGTTCCTGCATGCGCCAGCAATTTGGGTTCCCTATTCCTGCTGGTTTTCTGACATGGCTTACCTATGAGTCAGAGTTTCATGCAGGTGCACGAAATTGGCAGAACCTAAATGAGATCTCTGTAAGCTAGTGGAAAAGGTAGTTGGGAATATTTTCTCAACATTTCTCAAAATATTTTCCACTAGAAAATATTTTCAATTTGGGAAAATGAGATTCACAATTAGGGAGTTACTGAAATATACAAACGATCCTTGATAGTTTTTGGACAGCTGTTAATGATAGATTTATGCTAAAATTAATATCTAATATATAATGGTATAATAGCACTTATAAAGAGCTTACTATGTGCAAGCTTGTTTTATGTACTCTACATCTAGCAATTCATTTTATCATTATATCTCTCCTGTGTAATTGATGTCATTATTTATCCTATATTACAGATGAAACTTAAGCATGGAGATGTTAAGGAATTTGTCCAAGGTCACAGTGATTGCATGGGGCAGAGCTGAGATTCAGATGCAGGTAGTGGCTCTGAAAGTCCGGACTCTCACTTTTCACCAATATATAATATGTGTACATTAACAACATTAGCAAAACAATTTGGAATAGGCAAGAGAAATAAAAAGAAATTGAGTAGAATATATGAATAAAAAAGTTACAGAAAATAAAACTATGATGGCTAATAAAAATGAAGTATTATTATCATGGAAGGAACTATGATATAACCAATTAATATTTCTTTGGGCCCAACACCCTCACATATTATCAACATAAATCCTATTAATATTAAAGAAACTGCCTTAGACATAAATTTCTCAAAAGTTCATTCACTGATTCTTTAAATACATATTTCATATTCACTTCAAGTAGTATGGACTACTGTCCCAATAGTTACAGCAGCACTTAACTGTAATTTATTTTATTTTATTTTATTTTATATTTTTAGTGTGTTAACATCAGAACAGGTGCCCTGTGGGACATATCCTCAATGGTGCACACTCAGCCATTCAATAAAAATTGTTAAATAAAATACTTGTTAAATGTAATCAAAATGTCTGCTATTGAATCTTCAAGAATTATTAAAAGATTCTGAGCACTCTCTCCCCTTAGAAATTTCTCATATATGATTTAAAAATAAGTAAACTAACATTATTTCTTCTCTACAGTAGAACATGTTCTAATTGCCTTACTATAGTTTTCCTCCTGTAACATATATTGGCATTTTATTAAACCAATAGAGGGTAAAATTCTTTCAAAGAGATAAAAAAAAAAATCTACAAATTGTAATGATCCTTAATCAAAGCAGGAGATAATGAAATTTTGTTAGACAGAAATTTATTCACCCCATGGATTAAAATAACAAGATGAAAGGGGAAAAAAAAGGAAAAGGAAAAAGATTCAAAGGGCTCTGAATTTAAGATAGAAAAAAGCTGGCATTAGAAGATTAAATCTACCTTTGAAATAAAAGTCACTTAAAAATCAGCCTCAATTAGGTTAAGTTGCACTTGATGTGATTACCTTTCTCTAAAAACTTCTGATATTAGCTTCTCTATTTGATTTGACTATGATATGTTTTGCATATGAATATATTCATGTGTCAAGCCGTCTGGATTAATTTAAATTTAATTTAACTTGGTTAACACTAATAGTCTGTTTTGACAAATTGAAAAAAAACTTTAAAAGAATTAAAGAGAGTAAAAGCTCATGAAAATTTTATACCCATGAGAAATATATTTTACTGGCTGAAAGATGGTATTAAAATTTAGCAGGTAAAATAGTTCCTATAGACATTTTTATTGTAATATATATGAGAAATAAGCAAGGATGAAAATTTAGGACAAAAGACCAATTGCAACAATACTGTACATCAGTGGTCCTCAACCTTTTTGGCACCAGGGACAGGATTCATGGAAGACAATTTTTCCAGGGACCGGGTGGGGGGAGTGGGGGGCAGTGGGGGGGTGATTTGGGGTGATTCAAGCAGATTACATTTATTGTGCACTTTATTTCTATTATCATTACATTGTAATATATAATAAAATAATTATACAACTCACCATAGTGCAGAATCTGTGGGATCCCTGAGCTTGCTTTCCTGCAACTAGATGGTCTCATCTTGGGGTGCTGGGAGACAGTGACAGATTATCAGGCATTCAGTTCTCATAAGGAGCATGCAACTTAGAGCCCTTGTGTGCACAAATCACAACAGAGTTCACTCTCCTATGAGAATCTAATGCTGTAGCTGATCTGACTCGAGGTGGAGCTCAGGTGTAATGCAAGCAATGAGGAGCAGCTGTAAATACGGAAGCTTCCTCGCTCACCCTCCACTCACCTCCTGATGCGCAACCCAGTTCCTAACAGGCCATGGACCGATAGCCTGGGGGTTGGGGACCCCTGCTGTATATTATAAGGAGAACTATCTTTAGATTTTAAAACAATGCCTGTCTGCATTTGAGATGAAATTCTATGCATTTGATTCTTTGGGGGAACCCAGTCAAATTTCCTCTGAATCAATTGATAAAAAAGAGCAAGAGGTCCAGCAAAAACTATTGGAAATGATGATATTGCAATATGCATGGATATAAACTTCAGGGAGACCGTGTTCCCACACTGAAGCCCAGAATGAAGCTAATTACACACAAGCCACTGCCAAATGGGTTGGTGCTTGCTCTCATGGAGTTCCTCTTCCAACGAGTAGATCTGACTATGCTGCTCTCTGAGCAACTTCTCTCAAGAAAAGGAGAGACAGGATGGGGGAGATTCACTTACTCCAAGAGTTTTCATCTAGACTTTCTAATGATGCAAGCCTCTTTCCACTTCCAATCTATGTGGAGGAGTATGTTAGGATACATCGAGGTTCGGAGTAGGCCCTTACCAGGAGGGTGAAAAAAGTGTTGTTCTCCAATATTGCATGTCTGGCATATACTGAGACTATTGGAAATAATGAATTGACTGGTTCAGTAGTGTGTATTTGCCTGATTTAAAAAAAAATCTATTAAATTCCTCTGCTGGAGATGTGGATAATATACCAACACAGGAAAACTGGAAGCAGAATTAAGAGACTATCATGCTAAACTAGAGACTGAGTGTGGGGTCAGAGGAAGAAAAGAATATCACCACGAATGCTGCTTACTCCTAGTGCTTCTTATATGTTTCAAAATAGCTAGAAAATAAGAATTGAAATGTTATCAACACAAAGAAAAGATAGATGTTTGAGGTGACGAATATCCCAATTATCCTGATTTAATTATTGCACATTGTATATAGGTATCAAAATACCACATGTACTCTAAAAATATGTACGACCATTGTCTTTACATATTAAGACAATTAAGTCTTTGCTGTGACCTGTGTTGAAAGTAGACTTATTCCTACATAGTAATTTCCCTTTGATTTCACTTATTTTTGGGGGCAAACAGAATTTTTAAAAATTAGAAAACAACTAAAGCGCAATTTCATGGTTAGTACAAATACAAATTGTGTGTGTGTGTGTGTGTGAGAGAGAGAGAGAGAGAGAGAGAGACAGAGAGAGAGAGTGAGAAATCCTTATTCTATTTCTGAAATATTAACTAAATTCAAAGGCTTTTTTGTTTAACAGATAGGTTCTCACACTGTCATTCAGATTGAAGTGCAGTGGCACAATCATAGATCATTGTAACCTAGAAGTCCTGGGCTCAAGGGTTCCTCCCACCTCAGCTCCCGAGTAGGTACGACCACAGCTGTACACCACCATGCCTAGCTAATTATATTATTTTTTATAGAGATTGGGTCTCACCCTGTTGCCCAGGCTGGTTTCAAACTCCCAGACTCAATCGATTCTCTCAGTTTAACCTCCCAACATGTTGGGGTTACAGGCATGAGCCAATGTGCCCAGCCTGAAGACATTTTAAATACACGAACTTAGTTAAATTTCTTTCACAGTCATTTATATCAGGTGTTGACTTTGATTTAGATTTTTAAGAAAATGGTAAATGGTATATACTTTGTATTTTCTTTGCCTTGTTTGTGTTGTATGTATGTGTTTGCAAGAGCTTTGGGGATGGAGTATGTTTGGGAGTTTAATGAGAGCTTTTTGAATTGGTATATGCAAAGGAAAGCTTAAAAATTTGCTTCAGTAGGCCGGGTGCGGCGGCTCACGCCTGTAATCCCAGCACTTTGGGAGGCCGAGGCGGGCGGATCACGAGGTCAGGAGATCGAGACCATCCTGGCTAACATGGCGAAACCCTGTCTCTACTAAAAACACAAAAAATTAGCCGGGCGTAGTGGCGGGCGCCTGTAGTCCCAGCTACTCGGGAGGCTGAGGCAGGAGAATGGCGTGAACCCGAGAGGTGGAGCTTGCAGTGAGCAGAGATCGCGCCACTGCACTCCAGCCTGGGCCACAGAGCAAGACTCCGACTAAAAAAAAAAAAATTGCTTCAGTATAGTTTTATGGATAATTTATTGTACAGGGTACATTTTGTAATCTTAAAAAAATAAGCACATTAAGATATGCAGCAATGATTAGATATGATATTATCCCTATATGCCAATTTTTACTTTACTTATATTTCGTATCTACCATTTTAATTTTCAGATAAATGATAGTAGGATTTGGAGTTTGATGGATTACACTGCTGCTGTTTCAACCTTAAAGAGGTAGGTGGTTAGTGAATTCTATGTCTACTTTTTAAATGAGTTGCTTTCAATGAAGCTCATCAGCAACACTTTCTGAATATAAGAGGCATTGCTTACTTTTAAGCTTAAGTGGGCACCTTGCTATATATTGCTTTTTAAAGTTCAAAGTAATAAATTTTCAAATAATCATGTAAACCGCATAATAGTTTAAATTACTATAATCTGACAATATATTTTATAAGCTTATAATTTTGTTAATATAGTGATCTGAACCAAAAAAATACAGCTGTTCAATTTATACTACTGGCCAACTTCTGGGCAATTAAACATACCAGCAAACCATAAAACTGCAGAAATTAAATTTAAATAATGCTATGGTCTAGAATTGATGATAAATTTATGCAATTCAGCCGAGTGTAACTACAATTGAATTGACAATTACTTCAGCTGCCTGCATTTTCATCATTTACACCATATTTGAAATACCACAAGGCAGAAGATAGATTTTAGCTCAGGTAATTGGTATCAGTGGGAAAGTGACAATTGTTTCATGAGGTCCAGGAACTAGTTACACAGTGAAAATTCTAATTAAAATAGAAGAAATATTCATTAAGCTATTATTGGTGAATAACACAGACATAAAAATCTTAACTAGATTCTATTTTAATGTTATTTTTAATCCTTTCATTCAGGTCCCAAAAACAAATAGAACAAGTAAATCAAATGTCATCCAATAGGCTAGTGAGCTTAAAAGCCTTATTATTTAGACTATTTGTTGTCTCTGAACAAAGCTAGATTTTGAGTCTTGAAAAAATAATTTTGACCGTTCAATGCCTGATTCTAGGCTTTTATGGGAAATGTTTTGATCCATCCAACTCTGAGAAACAGAGTCCTAAGACTGAAACAAATAGACTTTGTCATGGCCTATTCAGAAACGGGGCCACTTTTCATGGTTCCTAACAGCCTTCATGCTATACTTGGCAAGCCCAGTCTCTTTCTATTCCCCATCTAGTATCTGCACTAATGCTTTTAGTATAAAAACCTTGACGACATTTGGTCCCTATTTAAAACATTGCATACTCTAAACCATGGCCTCCCAATCCTGCAACATCTGTCTCTGGTGTTCCACTTAGTCTTTATTACATTCTGATTTCCCTCATTCTCATTGCAGTCTGCCACACTAGCACTTTTATTTCTTTGAAACAATACACACATTCCTGCCTCCAATGTTTTAACACTTGCTGCTCATTTTGCCTGAAGCACTCATTTTGCCAGGTACTAGAGCTCACATGCTCATTTTCTTCAGCTCTCTGATCACATGTCATATCTGAGAGGTTTTCTTTTATTACTCTGTATAACTGATGCATTAGCCTCTTCCATTCTTAAATTACTTACCCAGTTCTATTCTTTTTTACATGACTATAATTAACAGACATTTCTGTTTATCACTTTTCTCTTCCCTCTGGAATATAATTTGCACATGTCCAGAACTTTGCTTTTGTGTTCACACTTGTATCCACTGTACATGTTTGATACATGAATACTTACTAAATATTTCTAAAATGAAGAAAATAATTTAGTGAATAAGTAAATAAAATGGTAATGTGTTAATTCTCTATAGTTCATGCAAGTGGTACTGGCATTTGAAATAAACCTAAGAAAATTCTTATAACCCATATTAATGACAATAATCTTCACATGCCAAAATTAAATCTGTTCCATAAAGAATGAAAACTGCTTTGTTTCTTTTTTCAGTTAACTTTTAAAATTTATTATTTTTATTATTATTGGCTAGGAAAGGGGTTTAGTGATGCTTATTCATTTGTTCTGAATTACTTATGACAACTAGACTGGGTCTGGAAACTCTATTCTGAAATCCTCATCCCTATGTGGTTCTGGGTTAGAGTTGATGAAAACAGGAATATATATATATATATATATATATATATATATATATATATGGTTTAAATGGTGGAAATTAACAGGAAGCCATTACTCTTAGATGGTCATGATAGACTGTGTGGTTAAGTGTCAACTTGATTGGGTTGAAGGATGCAAAGTATTGTTTCTGGGTGTATTTAGGTGTTTCTGGGTGTTGCCAGAAGAGATTAACATTTGAGTCAGTGGACTGGGAGAGGAAGATCTACCCTCAGGAAGACCCACCCACCATGTAGGTGGGCACCATCCAATCAGCTGCCAGTGTGGCTAGAAAAAGCAGGCAGAAGAAGGTGGAAGAAGCTGACTTGCTGAGGCTTCTGGCCTTCATCTTTCTCCCATGCTGAATATTTCCTGCCCTTGAACATCAGACTCCAAGTTCTATGGTTTTTGATCTCTTAGACTTACACCAGCGGTTTGCCAGGGACTCTCAGGCCTTCAGCCACAGAGCAAAGTCTGCACTGTCAGCTTCCCTACTTTTGAAGTTTTGGGACGTGGAATGAACTACTACGGGCTTCCTTGTCCTCAACTTACAGACGGCCTGTCATGGGATTTCACTGTATGATCGTGTGAGTCAATTCTCCTGAATAAACTCCCTTTCATATATACATGTATCACATTAATTCTGTCCCTCTAGAGAACCCTAATACATGGACAGACAGGGGAAAGACAAATGCAGATGCACCCAGAGAGCTAGAGCTTCTAGTTAATCTTCCAAATGACAGACTCCACCATCTAATAGCAACTCAAGCCTACCATCTAATATTTGACTAGTTTCCTCAGAGGGGGCTGCCTTATCAGATCTCACTATAAAAACACATTTAGCTGATGTGCCAGGCTCCCAGATGTTTATAACTTCTGAGATCTTTCTGTGAGCTCTGAAACACCCACTCACATCATTGCTTGAAGCTATTAGGGTTAATGACCTTTCTCTAATCTGGCTCTCCACTTTGAAGCTTTTCCTAACTTTGCCACATTTGTGTAAGCTTTTATTAATACGATAAACCCTTTTGTTCCTGTACTCTTAGTGGCTTTATTTTGATTACTGAATTCCGACTAATAAACCATTTTTCATGGCCGAATATGGGTCATCTTCCATTGGACTTTTCCATAGTGTTTGATCTTCATTGCTATACATAAATATAACCTCATGAAAACAAATTATAATATACATATTTATATGTGTGTCTGTATGTCTGGGGGATGTGCATGTATGCCTGTGAGGGTTTTGTGTGTGTGGATGTATTTTGAAACTTTAAAAAAATCTTTTAAAAAAGCCTAAAATTATCACAATATTTTAAAGTAAAATTCTTTTCCAATCTTCACACTATTAGAAGAGCCTTCACAATTGTTTTATGACCCTAAAATGGTTGCAAAAAGTATTTTATGTATTTAATGAAGTAAAGATGCATAATTATTGGATCCAGTCAAATTGTTGTCAGAGCATGTGGTTCAAATTTGCTGAACTCTTATGGTAAATAAATATGCCTTACTGAATTAAAACACACAAGGATGGATCATTTAAGTGCAGAACACACTTGCTATTTAAATAAACCTTTATACCTTTAAAGTCATTTCTACCAGATCAATGACATAGTTTTCAGATTTCACTGGAAAAAGTAGAGTAAATGAAAGATTTTTCTCCACTGTAAAAACATATGCTACTAATGGTCACAGGAGTGGGATTGTGGATCTGGTCTTTTTTTTCACTCTATTGTTCTACCTGAGAACATGTATAGTACAATGGAATGTGCCATGTTGGAAATACAGCAATGTGTAGTCATATTATTCTATTTTACTTGTTGCTTCAATTTTTATGATTTTCTCTTCCTTTAGTTTTCGGAGAGCAAATTAATAGAATATTGACTTTTCTGTGACTAGTCTACTAAGAAGGCATAAAATGTATCTATGCCTTCAGGTGCACACATACATCTCTTCATAAACATATATCCCAGCACAATGTTGTTTCACTTTCTTTTGATTTAATTACTTGTCCATTTTAAAATATTGGCTATTACTTTGTACATTGTTATAAAATATACGAGTAAATAAATAAAAGATTATCACTTACGTCTTCACTAAATTTACAATCATCTACTGGGGGAATATGAACAACTAAATGTATCATTAAGGTGAACTGCGGCAAATGCTTTTAAGAGAGAAATATAGTGAGTGTGCAAGTAATTGTGTGGATTAAAAATTATTGATGGAAATGTTATTTCAACTAAAATCTAACTGAATGTTAGAAGTGACTCAGATTAAATGGAGTAGGAGAAAAAATATTTCAGTCATAAAACCTGAATGAATTTTGAGGGATCTGAAATCTCAGTATCACTGGAGCATGGATTGAGAGTGGGGAGATTGGCAGGCATCAAGGGAGATAAGAGCTCAAAGAGAAGAAAGAATGGATTAAAAGTAGATTTGGATGGAATTTTAGACTTCATCCCAAAGGCAATGATGAGACATATAGAAATGACAAGTAAACATTAACAATTACTTTCAAGAAGGTCATCTGGCTGCTGAGTTGAAAATGGGAAACTCAGGTTAGGAAGAAGGGACAAGCCTAGAGCCAGGGAAACCAGTTAGAGAGCAACAGATGACTTAAGCTTTGATAGTCAGGAAAGAAATAATAAACTGTATCTGAAATAAACAAAAGATGATATATAGATTTTGGTAGTTAATTGCTCACAAGGAAGAAGAAGTCAACTCCACCTCCCAGATTTCAGGAGTGAACAAATGGTCTGAAATGCAGCATTCCATGCAATGTGGAACGTGGGAGGCAGAGCAGCTTTCTGTGGCTGTAGGTATGAGAGCTAGTTCAGTCTGCAACCATTAAGTAAGTATTTAAGTATCTGTTTGTATGGAATTATAGTTGTCCTATAGGCAAGTAAAGACAAAGACAGAGATGGTGTTATCTGGGGGGAAGTATGGGGTTAATTGGGCTTTAAAATTTTAATGTAATTTGATTTTTATGTGACAGGGATTTGATTATGATTAAGTGTATATTGGCAGGAATAGGAGAATGGAAACCTATCCAAAACTTGCCTCAAAGATTATTAAAGAATTGTAAATATTTCTAAGGGTGTTCAAAATGAAAAAGTGGGACTGGGCGTAGTGGCTTACACCTGTAATTCTAGCACTTTGGGAGGCCAAGGCAGGAGGATTACTTGAACCCATGAGTTCAAGACCACCCTAGGCAACATGGCGAAACCCCATCTCTACAAAAAATACAAAACTTAGCTAGGCATAGTGGTGTGCGCCTGTAGTCCTAGCAACTTGGGAGGATCATTTGAACCTATGAGGTTGAGGCTGCAGTGAACCACGGCACCACGGCACTGCAGCCTGGGCAACAGAGTGAGAATCCATCTCCAAAAAGAAAAAAAAAAAAAGCAAAAAAGCAAAATTGAGCTAGACTCGGTCTGCATTAGTTTGATTCAGTATTAACACATTTGAGAAATGTGAAGGTTTGAAGAAGAAAAATCAAATGCTTGTAAATTATTAAATTATTTTAAAATCAATAAATACATTTAACATATTCTTTCAACAGGGTAAAATTAGTGCTGTTTTCTTCCTAATTCGTAAACATCACGTATAAGTGTGTGTGTGTATGTGTATGCACATGTATATAGTCATGCACCACATAATAACTTATATGGACCACATATAAGACAGTAGACAAATAAAATTAGAATGGGGTTGTCCTATACAGGCGTACCATTTTAAAATATTTTGTAGCATATTTTACTTGTCTATGTTTAGATATGTTTAGATACAAAAATACCATTGTGATGCAAGTGCCTAAAGTATTCATTACAGTAACATGCTTTAAAGGTTTGTAGCCTATGGACAGTAGGCATAACATATAACCTAGGTGTTTAGTAGGCTACACCATCTAGGTTTGTGTAAGTACATTTGATGATGTTTGCAGAATGAGGAAATTGCTTAACGACAAATTTCTCAGAGTGCACCGTCTTTGTTAAGCAATGCATTACTGTCCATTCTCACACATACATTTTTCTTCTTCAGTAAAGTTTTGTACTGTATAAACAACTCATTAAGGATCACAACACTACTGTGAAAATAGAAATAGAATTTCTTATGTGTTTTTTGTTATAATAAGATGATTTTTGACATTGGCTTTTTAATGGCAGTGCCAATAAGTGTTAATAATTGGATTATTTCCCAGGCTCCTCTGGTTTAATATGCATCTAACATCTTCCAACCTCAGCTTAGAAATAAATTCTAATTCTTACCAAAGCAGTCAATCAGCAAAACACAGGTACTTTTCACTGATGCCAGTTCCATACCCATCACTGTAAGCTATAGTATAGATAAGGCTTATTTGATAGTGAAAGTATCATAACTCTGGTGATGCTAATGATCTAAATGAGTGAGTAGAAAATCAAGAGAAATGCCAAAGTTATCCTTTCCTTGAATGACAGGAGACTTGGAAACAACAGACTCACATTATAGACTGAAGAGGAAGGAGGACAGGGTAAGGGTGAGGTATATGTGTCATCTTACATTAGGAAAATGCTTTTCTACAATTGAAAATAATATTCATCAATTATAAATTCTAACTAGTTTATTACCTTAGAACTGCTTGCTGGAAAGCTGCCACAGATATTTTTAGAGTGGGTCATTACATCATTGCAGAGAATTGTTTTCTAGCACGTGTCCCAAAGAATTTTGGTAGGGAAAAATGAGAAGTCAATAAAGTAAATATGCAATTAGGTGTTTTGTTTTCACAAGGTTCAGTAGGTTTTATTTCCCTTTAATGTCAGGTTTAAATTTTAAGCCTTGTTTAAATATTCATACAATGACTTCAGAGTTAGAGAATTAATGCCAGTGGTCTGTATTGTTTTGTTTTACTCTGCATATTTAGAGAAAAGGTCCAACTTGTCCTTTACTTACATCAGAATAAAAATCAATCACAGCCTACTTGTTATCAAAATACCACAAACTATGAAATAAAAATATATTTATAGTAGGAAAACAGAAGTGGAGGGCTATGATCAGCTTATTTAGAATACATCAAACTTTATTCCATGTGCATATATTGCACTTTTCAGCATGTACCAATTAGTGAACATTATTCTGCTAATTTTTATATGTTAATATGCTATGAAAATTCTGCAAGCTATATGAAATTTTATAATTCTTTAAAAACTGCAAATAGAAAATACAGGCAAAAGCCTATTCCTTTTTGGAATGAAAAGTGCTTAATGAATTTGTGGAGAGTTTTGTCTATAGAACAGAAAACATGCACTGACAGAATTTAGAGAAAATTGTCATAAATAGCTTATTTCCTTTCATATAAAAAATTATGGCTTTGTACATAGCATCAAAGGAAATGGGTGGAGAATCTGTATTTGAATCTGTCTCAAAAGTTTGTTAGAGGTGGATCATCTGATTTCTTTGGAAACATTATAGCTAATTTACTGAATGTTGATTTCATCAATTTGATTTTGAACAGTTCCTGAGAGACTGTTAAAATGACCATTGATATTATACAGACCATTTTCTCATGCAGATTTTCTTCCATCTTATCTTCAAAAGGTACAGAGAAATTTAGGTTTCTAGCTACCTCAAAGAATACAAGAAATCAGGTTTTGTAGGTTTGAATCAACATATGGAGCCTGAATTAGAGTAGAAGACTACAATTATGTGGTTCAATGTGTGAGTGTTAATTTTTAAAAGTAGTGTAAATTTTTTTCCGCTATATGTAAAAAAAAATTGAGCCATCATAGGAACAAAATTGCATGATATTGACAAGAGCAAAGAACACTATGCAGTATTTACCTCTGACAAGAAACATAATATTAATGCCCTTAATATACCTTTCTCATAGATCCCTTTCTACTGAAGGCACCAGTTCATGGGTGTCATTTGGGAGCAGTCATTGTTGGTATTTCTTCTGGCAGTTCTCCTATTTAATAGGTACTGAAGTAAGAAGTAAGTCCACTTGTAAATACAAGTGTAAAAGAACAGAAATAAGTTTCCTGCATTCAATTTGGGTAACTCTCAATATGTATTAGTTTTCTAAAGGTAATGGTCTCCAGCTCCATCCATGTCCCTGCAAAGGACATGATCTTGTTCTTTTTTTACGGCTAGATAGCATTCCATGGTGTATACATACCCCATTTTTTTTACCCAATCTGTCATTGATGACCATCTAGGCAGACTCCATATCTTTGCTATTGCGAATAGTGCTGCAATGAACATATGCATGCATATGTTTTTTTAAATAGAACAATTTATATTTTTTTCGGTATACACCAGTAATGGGATTGTTTGGTGGAATGGTATTTCTGTCTTTAAGTCTTTGAGGAATTGCAACACTTTTCCACAGTGGTTGAATTAATTTGCACTCCCACCAACAGTGCATAAGTGTGTCTTTTTCTCTGTAACCTTGCCAGCATCTGTTATTTTTTCACTTTTTAATAATAGCCATTCTGACTGGTTTTGATTTGAATTTCCTTAATGATCAGTAAGGTTGATCTATCTATCTATCTATCTATCTATCTATCTATCTATCTATCTATCATCTATCTATCTATCCATCTATCTATACATGTATATACATACACACACACACACATATATATGCTTATGTGTCTTCTTTTGAAAAGTGACAATTCACGTTCTTTGCCCACTTTTTAATGGGGTTGTTTGTTTTTACTTGTAAATTTGTTTAAGTTTCTTATAGATGCTGGATATTAGACCTTTGTTAGATGCATAGTTTGAAAAAATTGTCTCTCATTCTGCAGGTGGTCTGTTCATTCTGTTGATAGTTTCTTTTGCTGTCCAGAAGCTGTTTAGTTTAATTAGATCCATTTGTCAATTTTTGCTTTGGTTACAATTGGTTTTGTCATCTTTGTCATGAAATTTTGCCTGTGCCTATGTCCTAAATGGTATTGCCTAGGTTTTCTTCCAGGGTTTTTATACTTTGGGGTTTTACATTTAAGTCTTTAATTCATCTTCAGTTAATTTTTGTATATGGTGTGAGGAAGGGGTCCAGTTTCAATCTTCTGCATATGGCTAGTTAGTTATCCCAGCACCGTTTATTGAATAGGAAATCTTTTCCCCCATTGCTTGTTTTGGTCAGGTTTTTGAAGATCAGATGGTTGTAGGTATGTGGTCTTATTTCCAGATTCTTCATTCTGTTCCATTGGTGTATGTGTTCATTTTTGTACCAGTACCATGCTACTTGAGTTGTCCGGCTCTGCAGTACAGTTTGAAGTTGGGTAGTGTGATGCCTCCAGCTTTGTTCTTTCTGCTTAGGATTACCTTGCCTAATTGGGCTTTTTGATTCCATTTGAGTTTTAAAATACTTTCTTTCTAGTTCTGTGAAGCATGTCAATGGTAATTTAATAGGCATAGATTTCTGAATCTATAAATTATTTGGGCAGTATGGCTATTTTAACAATATTGATTCTTCCTATCTATGTACATGGAATGATTTTCGTTTGTTTGTATCATTTCTGATTCCTTTGAGCAGTGGTTTGAAGTTCTTCTTGTAGAGTTCTTTCACCTCCCTAGTTAGTTGCATTCCTAGGTTTTTGTGTGTGTGTGTGTATGACAATTATGAAAGGGAGTACATTTCTGATTTGGCTCTTGGCTTTACTGTTGTTGGAGTATAGCAATGCTAATAATTTTCGTACCTTGATTTTGTATCCTGAGACTGCTGAAGTTGTTTCTCAGCTTAAGAAGCTTTTAGGCCGAGACTGTGTGGTTTTCTAGATATGAGATCATATCACTTGCAAACAAGGATAGTTTGGCTTCCTCTCTTCCAATTTGGATACGCTTTATCTTTTCCTCTGGCCTGATTGCTCTGGCCAGAACTTCCAATATTATGTGGAATAGGAGTGATGAGAGAGGGCATCCTGGTATTGTGCCAATTTTCAAGAAGAACGCTTCCAGATTTTACCCTCTCAGTATGATGTTGGCTGTGGGTTTATCATATATAGATCTTATTATTTTGAGGTACGTTCCTTCAACACCTAGTTTATTGAGAGTTTTAAACATAAATGGATGTTGAATTTTATTGAAAACCTTTTCTGCATCTAGTGAGATAATCATGTTGTTTTTGATTTAGTTTTGTTTATGTGATACATTTACTGGTTTGCATGTTTTGAACCAATCTTGCATCCTGGAAATGAAGCCTATTTGATTGTGGTGCAAAACCTTTTGGTGTGCTGCTGGATTTGGTTTGCAGTATTTTGTTGAAGATGTTTGCATCAGAGTTTATCAAGGATATTGGCCTGAAGTTTTCTTTTTTCTTTCTTTCTTTCTTTTTTTTTTTTTTTTTTTTTTTTTGCTTCTGCCAGGTTTTGGTGTCAGGATGACAGGATGATACTGGCCTCATAGAATGAGTTAGGCTGAAGTCCCTCATCCTCAATTCTTTGGAATAGTTTCAGTAGGAATGCTACCAGCTCTTCCTTGTACATCTGGTAAAGTTCAGCTGTGAATCCATCTGGTTCGGGGCTTTTTTTGGTTGATAGACTATTTATTACTGTTTCAATTCCAGAACTTGTTATTAGTCTGTTCGGGGATTCAATTTCTTCCTGATTCATTCTTGTGAGGCTGTATGTGTTTACACATTTATCCATTTCTTCTAGATTTTCTAGTTTATGTGCATAGAGGTGTTCATAATATTATCTGATAGTTATTTGTATTTCTGTATTGTTAATAATATCCCCCTTGTCATTTCTGCTTGTGTTTATTTGAATCTGCTCCATTTTATTCTTTATTAGTCTACCTAATGGTCTAATTATTTTATTAATGTTTTCAAAGAATAAGCTGCTGGATTGATTGTGCTTTTGAATTTTCTTTTTTTGTCTCTATCTTCTTCAGATCAGATTTGCTTTTGGTTATTTTTTGTCTTCTGTTCAGTTTGGGGTTTGTTTGCTCTTGTTGCTCTAGTTATTTTAGTTGTGATGTTAGGTTGTTAACTTGAGTTTCTAATATTTTGATGTGGGTATTTAGTGATATATATTTTCCTCTCAACACTGCCTTGTGTCCCAGAGATTCTGGTATGTGTAAGTTTATTCTTATTGGTTTCAAAGAACTTCTTGATTTCTGCCTTAATTTCATTATTGACCCAAAAGCCATTTAGGAGCAGGTTATTTCGTTTCCACTTAAGAGTATGATTTTGAGTGAATTTCTGACTCTTGAGTTCAAATTTGATTGTGCTTTGGTCTGATAAACTGTTTCTTATGATTTCAGTTATTTTGCATTTGCTGAGGAGTGTTTTACTTTGTATGAGAGATCAATTTTAGAGTATGTGCCATGTGACAATAGGAAGAATGAATATTCTGTTGTATTTGGGTGGAGAGGTCTATAAATATCTATCAGGTCCATTTGATCCCATTCATGTCCTGAATATCTTTGTTGATTTTCTGTCTCAATGATCTGGGTAATATTGTCAGTGGAGTGTTAATATCTCCCACTGTTATTGTGTAGGAGTCCATGTCTCTTTGAAGGTTTCTAATTACTTGCTTTATGAATCTGTGTGCTCTTGTGTTGGGTGCATATATATTTAGGGTAATTAGATCTTGTTGAATTGAACCTTTTACCATTAAGTAATTACTTTCTTTGTCTTTTATGATGTTGGTTTAAAGTCTGTTTTGTCAGAAACTAGGATTGCAACCCCTGCTTTTCTCTGTTTTCCATTTGTTTGGTAGATTTTCCTCCATCCCTTTATTTTGAGCTTCTGTGTGGCACTGCATGTAAGTTGGGTATCTTGAAGTCAGCATATCAATGGGTCTTGCTTCTATATCCAGCTTGCCACTGTATGTCTTTTATTTGGGATGTTTAGCCCATTTATATGTAAGATTAGTAACGATATGTGTAGTTTAGATCCTGTAATCATGATTTTGGCTGGTTATTTTGCAGACTTAATTATGTGGTTTCTTTATAGTATCACTAGTCTGTGTTCTTAAGGTTTTTTTTTTTGTTGTAGTGGCTAGTAACAGTCTTTCCTTTTTATATTTAGTGCTTCCTTCAGGAGCTCTTGTAAGGCAGGTCTGTGGTAATAAATTCCCTCAGCATTTGCCTCACACCCTTTTAAAAGAGCCGTAATCCCACTCATGATGGCTCTGCCTTCATGACTTAATCATCTCCTAAGTGCCCCACATTTTAATACAATTATACTGGTGAGTGAATTTCAACATAAGAATTTTAAGGGACACATTCAGACCATAGCACTTCCTTCCCCAGCTGTGAATTAGATGTGTTTCTAAAATGTAATATGATACATGGATGGGAGAATATGAAATCTTTATTTTTAATTACCTTAGAATAAAGAGAAATTAAAAAGTGGATAATTTTGCATTCTCTATATGGCTAACAGAAGCTGTGAGATAATGAGTGTCTGTCATTGTACTTGCTTATCTTGACATGAGTGTAGTTGTTTAGTGACACAGCTCAATATATTTACTTGTTGGTTTTATTGAAACTTATAAACCTAAAATTGGTATTTAGAAATAGCATTCACTCAACAGAAAAAGATACATTCAGCAAACATCTTTTAATAGACTGTTAAAGACAAAACAAGGAAGATATATAACAGAGGGAAAGTATGTCTCTCTGGTTGTATCAGGGAAGAGTATACGTAAGCAATCACAGTTTGGGCAAAGATATTTTCAAACAGAAAACAGTAAGCAGAAAGGCCTTGACTCAAATCACCGTGGTTGGTAGGTTACTCGTCATTTGTACAATTGCTCTCAAATCAATTTCTTGCCCTTCCTCTGCTTTACTCTGAATTGCATGGGGCTAACCTCTACAACATATCCCAAGCTCCCTTGTTTACTAGCTATAGCAAACAGGAGGCATAGGGAGGTACTGGGGTTGGAGAAACAAAAAAGCCAGCACATATCTTCCCCCATTTTTTGTTCTGTCTGTATCCCTGGTAGAGGCTATGTTTCTTGTCTGTTTCCAGTTCTCATTACAATCCTTCTCTGTTTTAACACTTCCCTCCTGCCTCCTGGTGGCTCAGACTCCTGGTTTCTGATAAATCAGGGGATAGTAATGGTCTCTTTCTCTTGCCAAACTCTGGATTGTCTCACCGTGTCTCATTTTTTGCTCTTTCAGCTCTTCTAGTAACCTTGCTACAGTTCTTTGTAATAAATTTCTGACAATGAAATTTATGATCTGGACTTTCTCTCCCTGACTGGACCCTATTGATACAGTTTATCTGAGTAAATAAGCAGGATAAAAGTTATAAAATAATAACCTATTGTTAAGGAAAGGGAGAAAATGGTGGATACGAGGCAGGACTAACTTGCAGCTCCCACTCAGAAAGACAGAGCCACATGTGGAGACTCATATTGTTAACTTTTGCTCTGAGATCTACCGCAGCAACAAACCAGGAAAGCTGAGATAATCCACACACCCTTGGAAGAGGATTGCTGCTGCAGGAGCCATGGGACAGCCAAGGAACTGTGAGTTGCTTTCTTTGCTGAAAGGCTTGTACCCTGGGGAAAGTTCTCAACCCTGCTCACCTGCTGCCTGGAAATAAACTCGGTGCAGTTGGGGGGAGCATGGTAGGAGTGAGACCAGTCTTTCTGGCTGCAGGCTGTGTGAGAGTTGGGTGAAGCCTGTGGCTGATGGCTTTCCCCCACTTCCCTGGTGACCTCTGTGATACAGCAGTCAGCCATAATCCCCTGGGAACAGAACTCCATTGGCCTGAGAACCACATCCCGATACACCACAGCAGCTGCAGCAAGCCCCACTCAAGGACAGTCTGAACTCAGACACCCTTAACCCTGCCCCCACCTGAAGGTCTTTCTCTATCCACCCTGGTAGTTGAATACCAAGTACATGATCTCTTGGGAGCTCTATGGTCCCACTCATTGCCTGACCCTAGAGCAAGCTTGTATCCTACTTATACTACTGCAGCTGATGCACTCTTGAAAGCGCCACCTGCTGGCTGGAGGCTAACTGACACAAAAGCATTACAAAAATAAAACCACGGAGCCTCACAGAGTCTACTTCACTCCCCTGCTACCTCTAACAGAGCAGGAGCTGGTATCCATGGCTGAGAGACCTGAAGATGGATCAAATCACAGAACTCTGCAGACACTGCCCAGCACCAGTGTAGAGCCTAGTAGCTCTGCTGGGTGGCTAGATCCAGAAGAGAAACAAAAATAACTTCAGCTTGGCTCTCAGGAAGCCACATCCCCAGAAGAATTGGGAGAGAACCAAATCAAGAGAGCACCTTTTGGGACAAAAGAATCTGAACAGCAGCCCTTGAGTATCATAGGTGACCTCTGACACAGTCTACTAAAATGAGAAGTAACAAGAAAAACAATTCTGGCAGTATGACAAAATAAGATTCTTTAACACCCTCAAAAGATCACACTAGCTCCCCAGCAATGGATCCAAACCAAGACAAAAATCTCTGAATTGCCAGAAAAAAGAATTCAGAAGGTTAACTACTAAACTAATTAAGGAGGCACCAGAGAAAGGTGAAGTCCAACTTAAATAGATTAAAAAAAGATACAGAATGTAAATGGAAAAATCTCTAGTGAAATAGATAGCATAAGTATGAAACAGTCACAGCTTCTGGAAATGAAGGGCATACTTAAAGAATTGCAAAATGCACTAGAAATTCTCAGCAATAGAATTAAAGAAATAGAGAAAGAACATCAGCGCTCAAAGACAGGGCTTTCAAATTAACCCAATCTGACAAAGACAAAGAAAAAAGAATTTGCCAGTCATGGTGGCTCACGCCTGTAATCCCAGCACTTTGGGAGGCCGAGGCGGGCGGATCACGAGGTCAGGAGATCGAGACCATCCTGGCTAACATGGTGAAACCTCGTCTCTACTAAAAGTACAAAAAATTAGCCGGGCATAGTGGTGGGCACCTGTAGTCCCAGCTACTCCGGAGGCTGAGGCAGGAGAATGGCATGAACCCGGGAGGCGGAGCTTGCAGTGAGCCAAGATTGCACCACTACACTCCAGCCTGGGTGACAGAGCCAGACTCCGTCTCAAAAAAAAAAAAAGAAAAAAAAGGATTTAAAAAATGAACAAAGCCTCCAAGAAGTGTGGGGTGCTAAACCACCAAATCTAAGAATAATTGGAATAATTGGTGTTCCTGAGAAAGAAGGGAAATCTAAAAATTTGGAAAGGATATTAGAGGGAATAATTAAGGAAAACTTCTCTGGCCTTGCTAGAGATCTAGATATCCAAATATAAGAAGTTCAAAGAACACATGGGAAATTCATTGCAAAAAGATCATTGCCTTGGCACATAGTCATCAGGTTACCTAAAGTCAAGACTAAGGAAAGAATTGTAAGAACTGTGAGGCAAAAGCATCAGGTAACCTATAAAGGAAAACCTATTAGACTAACAGCAGATTTCTCAGCAGAAATCATAAAAGATAGAAAGTATTAGGGTCCTATCATTAGCCTTCTTAAGCAAAACAATTAGCCTAGAATTTTGTATCTGGCAAAAATAACTTTCATAAATAAAGGAAAGATACAGTCTTTTTCAGACAAACAAATGCTGACAGAATTCACTGCTATCAAGCCAGCACTACAAGAACTGCTAAAAGGAGCTCTAAGTATTGGAACAAATCCTTGAGGAACACCAAAATTGAACTTCCTTGAAGCATAAGTCTCACAGGCCCTGTAAAACAATAACACAATGAAAAAAATAAAGAAGGTATTCAGGCAACAAACAGAATGATGAATAAAATAGTACCTCATATCTCAATACCAAAGTTGAATGTAGATGGCCTAAATGCTCCACTTAAAAGTTACAGAATGGCAGAATGGATGAGAATTCACCAACCAAGTATCTGCTGTCTTCAATGAACTCAACTGATGCATAAGGATTCACATAAACTTAAAGTAAAGGCGGGGGGTTGGGGGAAGATATTCCATGCAAATGGACTCCAAAAGCAAGCAGCAATAGCTATTCTTATATGAGACAAAACAAACTTTAAAGCAACAGCAGTTGAAAAAGACAAAGAGGGACATTATAAAATGACTTAAAAAACTAGTCCAGCAGGAAAATATTACAATTTTAAATATATATGCACCTAACACTGAAGCTCCCAAATTTATAAATCAATTACCACTAGACCTAAGAAATGAGAGAGACAACACCACAATAATAGTGAGAGACTTCAACATACCACTGACAGCAGCAGACAGATCACCAAAGTCAACAAAGAAACAATGGACTTAAACTACACCCTGGAACAAATAGACTTAACCGATATTTATAGAACATTTTACCCAACAACTGCAGGATACATATTTTATTCATCACCACATGGAACATTCTTTAAGATAGATGATATAATAGGTCACAAAACAAGTGTCAACAAATTTAAGAAAATTGAAATTATATCATGTACTCTCTCAGACCACAGTGGAATAAAATTGGAAGTCAACTCCAAAAGGAACCCTCGAGACCATGCAAATACATGGAAATTAAATAACCTGCTCCTGAATGATCATTGGGCCCATAATGAAATCAAGATAGAAATTTAAAAATTCTTTGAACAGAACAAGAGTAGTGACACAAGGTATCAAAACCACTGAGATACAACAAAAGAAGTGGTAAAGGGAAAGTTCATAGCATTAAACGGCTACATCAAAAAGTCTGAAAGAGCACAAATAGACAATCTAAGGTCACACCTCAAGGAACTAGAGAAACACGAACAAACCAAAACCAAAGCCAGCAGAAGAAAAAATAAATAAGCAAGATTAAAGCAGAAGCAAGTGAAATTGAAACAAACAAACAAAAGAAAGTACAAAATATCAATAAAACAAAAAGCTGGTACTTTGAAAAGATAAATAAAATTGATAGACAATTAACAAAATTAACCAAGAAAAGAAGAGAGATTATCTAAATAAACTCAATTGAAAATGAAAGGGGAAATATTATAATTGATATCATAGAAATGAAAAAGATAATTCAAGGATACTGTGAACACCTTTACATGCATAAATTAGAAAACCTAGAGGAGATGGATAAATTCCTGGAAATATACAAGCCTCCTAGATTAAATCAGGAAGAAATAGAAACTCTGAACAAATCAATAATAAGCAGCGACTTTGAAATACTTAAAAAGTTACCAATTAAAAATTCCAGGACCAGACAGATTCACAGCTGAATTCTATCAGAAATTCGAAGAATTGGTACCAATCATATTAACACCATTCCTCAAGATAGAGAAAGAGGGATTCCTCCCAAAATTATTCTATGAAGCAAGTTTCACCCTAATACTAAAAGCAGAAAAGAATATAACAAAAAAAGAAAACTACAGTCAAACATCACTGATGAACATAGATGCAAAAATACTCACCAAAATACTAGCTAACCAAATCATATAAAAAGATAATCCACCATGATAAAGTGGATTTCATATCATGGATACAGGGATGCTTTAACACCCACAAGTCAATAAATGTGATATACCACATAAGCAGAATTAAAATAAAAAATCGCATAGTCATCTCAATAGACACAGAAAAAACATTTGACAAAATCCAGCATTCCTTTATGTTTAAAACCCTTAGCAAAATTGGCATACAAGGGACATACCTTAAGGTAATAAAAGCCATCTATGACAAACCTATAGCCAATTTTATACTGAATGAGGAGAAGTTGAAAGCATTCCCCCTGAGAACTGGAGCAAGACAAGTATGCCCGCTATCACCACTTCTGTTCAACATAGTACCGGGAGTCCTAGCCAGAGCAATCAGACAAGAGAAACAAATAAAGGGCATCCAAATTGGCAAAGAAGAAGTCAAACTGTCACTGTTTGCTGATGACATGGTGGTATACCTAGAAAACCCTAAAGACTCCTCCAAAAAGACCCTGGAACTGGTAAATGAATTCAGCGAAGTTTCAGGATGCAAAATTAATGTACATGAATCAGTAGATCTGCTCGTACACCAACAGCAACCAAGCTGAGAATCAAATCAAAAACTTAACCCCTTTTACAATAGCTGCAAAAAAGAAAAGAATCAGGAATATATTTAACCAAGGAGGTGAAAGATCTCTACAAGAAAAACTACAAAACAAAAGCAACCACAGATGACACAAATAGAAACACATGCCATGCTCATGGATGGATAGAATCGATGTTGTGAAAAATGACCATACTGCCAAAAACAATCTACAAATTCAATGCCATTTCCATCAAAATAACACTATCATTCTTCACAGAACTAGAAAAAGAAATTCTAAAATTCACATGGAACCAGAAAAGAACCCAATTAGCCAAAGCAAGACTAGGCAAAAAGAACAAATCTGGAGGCATCACATTACCCGACTTCAAACTATTCTATAAGGCCAGAGTCGCCAAAAGAGCACGGTGCTGATATAAAAATAAGCAGATAGACCAATGGAACAGAACAGAGAACCCAGAAATAAAGCCAAATACTTATAGCTGACTGATCTTCAACAAAGCAAATGAAAACATAAAATGGAGAAAGGACAAAAGGACATCCTATTCAATAAATGGTGCTGGGGCAATTAGCAAGCCACATGTAGATGAATAAAACTGGCTCCTCATCTCTCACCTTATACAAAATCAACTCAAGATGGATCAAAGACTTAAATCTAAAACCTGAAACTCTAAAAATTCTAGAAGATAACATCAGGAAAGCCCTTGTAGACACTGGCATAAGTAAAGACTACATCACCAAGAACCCAAAAGCAAATGCAACAAAAGCAAAGATAAATAGATGGGACTGAATTAAACTAAAAAGCTCCTGCACAGCCAAAGAAATATCAGCAGAGTAAACAGAAAACCCACAGAGTAGGAGAAAATCTTCACAATCTATACATCTGACAAAGGAGGAATATCCAGAGTCTACAAGGAACTCAAACAAATCAACAACAACAACAAAAAACACATAATCCCATCAAAAATTGGGCTAATGACGTGAATTGACAATTCTAAAAGAACATATGCAAATGGCCAAGAAACATATGAAAAAATGCTCAACATCACTAATTTTCAGGAAAATGCAAATCAAAACCACATGATACCACCTTACTCCTGCAAGAATGGCCATAATCAAAAAATAAAAACAAAATAGATGTTGGTGTGGATATCATGAAAAGGAAACACTTTTGCACTGTTGGTGCGAATGTAAACTAATACAACTGCCATAGAAAACAGTGTGGAAATTTCTTAAATAACAAAAATTACATCTACCATTTGATCCAGCAATCCCACTCCTGGCTATGTACCCAGAGGAAAAGAAGTCATGCGAAAAACATACTTGCACATGCATGTTTATAGCAGCACAATTTGCAATTGCAAAATTATGGAGTAAGCCCAAATGCCCGTCAATAAATGAGTGGATAAAGAAAATGTGGGGGGTGTGTGTGTGTTTGTGTGTGTATAAAATGCGTGTGTGTATATACATATATACACATTATATATATGTGTGTGTGTGTGGGTGTATGTGTGTATATATATATGTATACACACACACTATGGAATACTATTCAGCCATACAAAGGAATGAAATAATGGCATTTGCAGCAAACTGGATTGAATTGGAGATGATTATTCTAAGTGAAGTAACTCAGGAATCAAAAGCCAAACATGGTATGTTCTCACTCACAAGTGAGAGCTTAGCTACAAGGATGCATAAGAATGATATAATGGACTTTGGGAACCTCGGGGGAAAGGGTGGTAGGGGTTCGGGTTTGAGGGATAAAAGACTACACATTGGGTACAATGTACACTACTTGACTGATGGGTGCTCCTAAATCTCAGAAATCACCACTAAATAACTTATTCATGTGCAAAAAATATAGATTAAAATGATTTAAGAAAGAGGAAAAAAACACTCTACAGTCATGTGCCAAATAACCACATTTCAGTCAATAATAAACAGCATTTATGATGATGGACCCATAAAATTATGATACCTTAGTTTTACTGTACCCTTTCTATGTTTAAATACACAAATACTTAGCATTGGGTTGCAACTGCCTACAATATTCAGTACAGTAACATGCTGTACAGGTTTGTAGCCTAGAAGCAATAGACTATACTCTATAGCCTAGGTGTGTGGTAGGCTATGCTATCTAGATTTTTGTAAATATGATGTTCACAAAACAACAAAATTGCCTAATGCTGCATTTCTCAGTATGTATACTGCAGAAAGGTTAGTATTAACATTTACAATTTCCACTTATATAGTATATACCTTCTGTCCTCTCAAAAGTTTTACTGAAATAACTCTCCTACTCCACACATAAGAATACTCATTTTCTCCTATCTTTCAAAACATTGGTTTTTGTTAGTCTTCACTAATATGGAAGTATTCTTCAGCCAAACAAAACAAAACCACCTGTTATTTGCATTTTCTTTATTACTGGAGAAGCTGTACATGTTTTGCTACATTTATATTCCTTCTTGGAACGGTTTGAGTCTTCTGCTAATTTTCTACTGAATAGTCTTATTTTCTTAGGAATTTAGTAGTATAATTCTAGTTAAAAGTAAAGAATATTTTCATTTTCCTTTTTTTTTTAACGAGTAACCTATTGTTTTTAGGTGTTTATGGAAATTCCAGATATTACAATTCATTAAATATGTCTGGAAATCAGAGGAGAGGCCAGCATGGGAGTTCAAAGGAAGTAAATGAAGTCATCTAGAGGCAGAAGATAGAGGAGAAAAATGGCTGAGGATGAATTTTTAAGGTAAGCATGTTAAGGTATGAGCAGACAGAGATAATTGGTAAGAAAAACAGATGAGGATAGCATAGGAGAGAAAAATGATGAAAAAACAATAGTATTCACCAAAGATTTTAGAAAGTGGAGATAAACCTTGAAAATTTTCAACTGGGCTCTGAATTTGGAAGTTAATTTTTATTGTTGGCAAAGAGGTGGAAATGGGGGAAGGAAATATGGAGAGATGTACTAAAGTTGAGAAGCAGAAACTGCTAAATAAATTGTTAAATAAAAAGTGTTGAGGTTTGAAAAACCATGATTTTTTTTTATTCCACTCAGAATTTCTTAATATGGGGGGCATAATATTTGATGAGGCCAATTGTAGCAATAATCCAAGTTGAAGCGACTCCTAGAAGGACAAAAACAAAGACTGGTTGATGGTTCTGGTGATGGTATACCAAAAGACCAGCCATGAATCCAGAAACTAGAAGAATGGCAGGCCAGGGAGGAGTTGCTAATGCGGAATAACTAGTTGGTCCAATGATACGGGTATCATTGGGGTATAGAATAAAAGGTGTTTTATCATCTAAAAGACGGATGTGAGCGATGTTCATGACTGACAAGAGGTAATGGGGAAGGAGCAGGCACCACTGAAGATGGCTGCAAGAAAAATACTGTCTTTTGGGAACAAGGAGATGTATAAAACCAACTGTGTAGAAGTTGAGGATGAAGGAGAGTTTATTTATGATGGAATGGGGATCCAGTAACCATAATGGTATGGATTGTAAGAAACGTCAGTAGGGGAATGACAAATTCATGGGCTGAATGTGCAAAGTAGTATAGAAAGAAGACAGTATGACAATGGTTATAGTCATAATTACATTTCATCTCCTAATTTCTAGTTCTGAACTACCCACAGTTACTCAATATACTCAAGGGCTGTCTCTATGACCTCTAATTAATACGGAGGCTTGGGGTATTTTATTCCATTTAAGAGTTTCCATATTCATTTCGTTATCCTATCGTTATTCCTTAAATTTCTATACACTTGAAGTGCATGTATATATTTGTATGTGTGCTTATGTCAACCTTCCTCAGCCATTCTACAGGACTATACAGATAATTTAGTACTCCTTTGTGAATTAGGCACTCAAAGTTAACAGCAAAATTTAGGGAGACAATGTCAAAAAGAGCTTTTCTCTGTCAACTTTTTTTTTTCTGTAGTTGACTAAAGAATTGTTTTCTTATATACCTACATATGTGCATAAAGAAACACATGAAAGGAAGAGAACATATTTTAATTATGAACTTTGGAGCTCTATTTAATGGTGTAATTTAAGAAAAATAAAGCTAATTATAATTCAAGATTATCTCCTGAACATCTTGGTACTTTCTAACTTGTGATGCCAAGTTGGTGATCCTCTTACACATCTTTTAACCAGACTTGTCTTCTTTTGGCTAAAATCTAGTGTTTTCAGAGAAGGCCAACTCTTCAAACCAAAATGGATTTAATCAGGAAAAATTGCAAGTAAAAACGTTACAAACCTTTTAAAAGTAAACTGAAAAATATTTTGATTTATAGACTTGTATTATTTTAAACTAACATTTCCTTCCACTGACAAATATAAGTGATATTTGGCAGAGTTTCAGAGGACCACCAAAGCTTAAATTAAACATGTGGAGAATATTGTCTCTACTCATGCATGTGATTCCTAAACACTGTTCAATAATTAATCTGAACTGCTTCCAAAAATAAAAAAAAAGCAATGTATAAAACAAAACAAAATCCTACTCTTCTACAGTTCTACTTCAGTGAGTTCTAGGAAGAAAAATCAAGCCCAAAGTTTAGTTGTTCACATACAGGTATCATTTATCCAAGTGTATATTATCTATGCAATTGGCTACAGAAGCCTGAGCACAAAAGCACAGGTGTTATTAGGTTGAAACAACTCTCTGTGTACCCTTTTCCAGGAATTCCGTGTACCTCCTAGGCATGAGTGTGAGCTAACTAGGAAATTAGATCAGTTCTACTCTAAACAAAAATAAGAGCTCCTGAAACTATGCACAAGTTTATTTGAGTAAAAGGAAGTCAAATCATTCTGTTAAGTTCTTTTACATCTTGTGTTAGGCAAAGAAAATAGTAAAGCTACAGATATAAAATAAGAAAGACTTTAAGATCCCAAGAGAGATACATTTTAGCAGTGCTTGCTTTTATTTTTGTGTATCCTAAGACAGATATATTTTAGTGGTTCTTACTTTTATTTTGTTTATCCTAAGAGAGATACGTTTGTAGATCCTAAGGGAGAGATATTTTGTCAGTTTTTACTTGTTACTTTTTCTAACTATACTGTTTTCTTAATATTTATATTAGATAAATTTATTTTGGATATAAAGAGGTCTGTTTGCTCACAATGTGGAAAAATAATAGAAAATAAAGAAAAGAAGGGTAAGAAAAAGGAAAAAGCATTAATACTTTGTGGATTAGATAATGTGTTATGCACTTTGGTAAATATTTTAATCACAATTTTCTGAAATTTTTACTGATTCCACTATAATTTTCAATAGGAAAATGTTCTCATTGAATTTATTTTAGATGCCAACTATCTGAAACAGTGTAATGATCTTTAAAATTTCCTTTTTGGAGGCTGTAGGGAATAGCATCAATGTTTCCAGAATGCTAAATATTTTTTTTTTTAATTTTGAAAAAAGTAGTAGGAAGTTTTGGAAGAGGAATATAAATACCACACAATATAATCTTCCTATCAGTTCTTGATTTCCTTCTATATTCTAGATTGTTGTCCATTAGCTATATGTTTTCTATGCCTGACATGAAAAACTACCACAAAGTTGGTAGCTTAAAACAACATAACTTCATTCTCCAATAGTTCTGATGGCCAGATATCCAAAATCCAGGTGTTGGGAGAGCTGTACTCCCTATAGAGGCTCTAGAGGTAAATTGTTTCTATACCTTTTCTGGCTTTTGGTGGTTAGTGACTTCCTTCACTTTTGGCCACATCACTCCAATTTCTGCTTCTGTCTTCACATCACCTAACCTGTTTCTGTCTCCTCCTCCGTATGTCTCTTATAAGGACTTCTGTTGCTCTTCTAGGCAATCCAGGATGATTTCCTCATCTCAAGATCCTTCAGCTAATTATAATGACAAAGACTCTTTTTCTAAATAAGGTAATATTCATGGGTTCTTGGATTAAGGCGTGAACATATCTTTTGGAGGGCTACCAGTCAGCCCACTACATCTACCATCTGTAATATCAATCTGTGAAAAGAACTTAGTACTTTCTAAAATGACTTGCTTAAGGTGTGATGCCAAACTCTATTTCACTGAGCCAAAATCTGATTCCACATATTTTCCCCATAATTCCAGTTCTGCCATTTGGGGTCCATCTTATGTCCATTTTCTGTTGCTATCACAGATTGGGTAATTTATAAAAAATAGAGGTGTATTTATTTCATTGTTCTAGTGACTGGGAAGTCCGAGAGTGTGGCACTGGTATCAGGTGAGGGCCTTTCTACTATGTCATAACATGGCAGAAAGCATTCACATGGTGAGAGGGCAAGAGTATATACATGTCAGTCAGGTCTCTCTTCCTGTTTTATACAGCCACTAGTTCCAGGAAGCCCCACACTGATGACCGTATCTAATCCTAATTACCTCCCAAAGATCCCACCTCCAATCAACATGTGATTTGGAGATTAAATTTCTAGCTTAAAAAATTTGAAATTTGGGAGAGACATTCAATTCATAGCAGAGCCCCATTAAATAAATATACTATCTTCCCACAGTATAGTCTTCTAAATATTTGAAAATTGGTATTTTTTCTTGAAAAATTATTTTCATTAATTTTTCAATACTCCTGAATTCCATTTTCTGTATCTTCATTTCTGGGTTTTTTTTTTATTATTTTACTCCTAATGAGTCACTCTGCCTCCTTCAAGATTAACTTGAGGCTTACTAATAGGTAGAATGAGTGTCTTGCCATCATATTAATCACAAAATGCCAGTGTATAATATAATAATACATTGCCTCTTGCAGTGCACTATTCCATTTCTATATTAATAGAAACATCAGGGATAGATTATATGCAGTTTCCCGTAGGCAGATGAAATTGAAAGGGTTTTTCTTTAACTTACTGCTATTTCTTCTATTTGTATTAAATTTCTTGAGTAATTTATGGCAGGTGTCATTCCTACTCTCTCAAGAGTTAGTAAAACCCAACAGAACTATTCATTTTATTCTCTAAAAATTGCATTGAGTGATCCCAGAGGCAGTGTGGAGTTACAGATAAAGTATCATTAGACAAAATCTATTGGCTGACAAAACACTGCAGAAGAAAGAACATACAAGCATACATAGGAAAATTGGTTTCTAATGGAGTGACAAATGATGAAGTGTGTTTATATAAATTTAAAGGAGATAATTTATTGGTAATTAATAAAACTATTTGTTGAAATATGTGATTATGTTAATGTTTATATTATTCCATTTGAAATTGTCCTTCTTTTAGTCATTTAATTTCAATCTATACTAAGTGTAAATCATAATTTAGGTTTCACAAATATCAAATGTGTCAAATTATTCTTACCATAAATATATTAAAGATAATTTTAGATTTCATTCAGATTATCTGCATTATTCTATTCTGTTCTCACACAGCTAATAAAAACATACCTAAGACTGGATAATTTATAAAGGAAAGAGATTTAATTGACTCACAGTTCCACATGGCTGGGGAGGCCTCACAATCATGGTGGGAGAGCAGAGGACATCTTACATGATGGCAGGAAAGAGAGAACTTGTGCTGGAGAACTCCCCTTTACAAAACCATCTCGTGAGACTTATTCACTATCATGAAAACAGCATGGAAAAGACCCACCCCATGATTTGATTACCTCCCACTGGGTCCCTCCCACGACACATGGGAATTTGAGAGCTACATTTCAAGATGAGATTTGGGTGGGAACACGGCCAAACTGTATCATTATCTTAGAGCTGAATCATTAACTTATTACCAATAATCTAGTTTCCCACATATTTTGTTTTTTTATGTTAAAATATAGGCAACGAATTATCTCAAATATATTAAAATGTCCCTTCTCTTAGTTTCAATAGAATTGTGATGTATACGATACAATGAAAATAACCACATATACGCAACATCATCAGTTTTATTTCCCAAGCTTCTTCTTCCTTCAACACACATTTTCTGTTAATATCAAGGCTTTGTCCATTTGAGGCAATTAATGGATTTTTAAATGAAACGAATGGATGACACTGATATTGGTTACTAAGAAATTTGGTTTGATAGACTGTACTATTAATGGAGATGTTAAATATTGAAATAAACATCGAAAAGAGGATAATGAGTCAAAGACATTATAATTTTGTTATTCATATAAATAAGTTCCAAAACAGTATTTCTGAGGAGCAGGCAGCTTTCCTACAAGAAGATCCTATACTACACCCTTTCTATCCCTGCCTTCCCAGGTTTTTGCAGTCTTCTGCATTGAATCAAGGGGGGAAAGGCATGAAGAGTCAGAGAGTGGAGGCTCTTATGGGATAGTACTAGAAGTAGGACTTGACACTTTTACTCATTTCTCTTTGACTAGCATTCAGTCACACATTCACACCAATGGCCAGGGAGCCTGAGACACAAAATAAACTGGGTTTAGAGAAGAGCTACCAAGTCTGTCATACTGGGGAAGATGCTTTATGGGAAAATCATTTTTTAATAGTTTATTGGTTTTCAGGAAGTAATATAATTCAGATAATAAAAGTTTATTACTCAGAAATCAGGTCTAGTTAGATGATTTGTGGGACAAGGTACAAAATGAAAATGCAAGGCCCCTTGTTCAAAACAGAGAAACAGTGCCACTTAATGTAATAAAATATAAAGGCTTTTACTTCAAAAATTCTTGTAATACTTTCAAACATAAGAGTGAATAACAGTGATACATAGTTTTAGTAACATATACTGTATCAAAAGAACCATCTTGCTTGGAAAAAAATTACTAGACAAATATATAAAATGGCTTTTACAAGCCATTTAAACAGCAACCCAAACAGGCAAGTTTTTAGGAACCATAATCCTGAAATTAGCTCGAATTCACCTCAGATTTTTCCTAGAATACATTATAAAAATTGTATTTAAGGAAGATTGTACCGTATCAGAAAACTGAAGCATCAGAAGCGATAGAGAACAAAAGGAACAGTTCAGGGCTGCCCAGTTCAGAAGCTAGGACAAGAGAGGCAAAAATCCAGAGATAAAGAATTTTCAGGTCATGAAAATGACACATATTCCAAGAAACAAATCAGAAGACAAATCAGCCTCCCAAAACTGGGAGGCTGAATTGTTGAGCAGAGATTTTAGCAGCTATGTTATCCCAAATGGAGAATGAGTGAATTTCAAGCTTTACCATGGAGGAAAGACTTTAGGAAATACCTCAAGACTTCAGTTGAGACAATGGAAGGACTATGCCTTATGAATGAAGGTCACTCCACAGGAGTAAAGGTTGTGTTCTACTGTGGTATATTACACAGTATCATATTTACACCATGTGTGATCAACTCTATGGAGAAAGTCACATGGCCTCCAGGCAACAGCCAATGAGGAACTGAATCCCTCATCCAAAAGCCCAAAAGGACCTGAATTCTGCTACAATCACATGAATAAGCATGGAAGTGGATCCTTCCCCAGGTAATCCTTGGGAAGTCAAAGGACTGCTGCCCTGCTGACACATGGAATTCAGCATGTGACACTTTGAAGCAGAAAGTCCAGCTTAATCATTCCCAGATTTCTGGCCTATATAGACTGTGAGATAATAAATGTGTTGTTAAAACCAGTAAGTTTGGGAGTAATTTGGTACTTGCAATAGATACCTAAAGTGGCTATAATATGCATGAGAAACAGAAACAGATTATCCTTAACCAAGCCTCAAACCCGGTAGTCCAAGAATGAAACTGATCTGCTGGCACTTGATCTGCTAAAAATAACAGAGGCTAGAGACTCCATAATTTTTAATATGCAGCCTGGCATCTGTTCAAAATTTTTGAGACATTACAAAAACAGGCAAAAATGAGTGAAAAAGAAGGTGAAAAAAAGCAGAGCTGATAAACGAGACCAAGTGTTGATTCAGAATTCAGAGAGATTAAACAATGACTTTTAAATAATCAATATGGGTCATGTAAAGTATGCAGTTTGTCTGCAAAGCATGTAATAAAATTTAAAGTACAACTTTAAGTTCTAAATGCACAATTTAGAAAGGAAGAAAAGTTGCAAAACATTGATTTAAGCTTTCAGTTCAAGAAGCTTGTTGGATAAAAAGCAAATTAATCTCAAAGGAATAGTAAAGATAAGAGAAAAAGCAATGAAATAGGGAATATAAATTAGATCCAGAAATTCATTCTTTGAAAATTTTGATTAAAATTATAACTTGTTAATGTCTTATCAGAAAAAATAGAGATAATGTAAGTTATCAATATCAGAATAAATAACAAAACATCAACCTAAATCTCACAGATAAAAAGACATTATGATGAATTTATAGTAATAAAGTTAAAATTTTCACAATAATGGATGAGTTCTCAAAATATATAACTCACCACAATTAGCGTTAGAATAAATAGATAATCTGAATGGTCTCACTAAAGAAATTGAATCTAAAATTAAATACCTACACACAAACACTTATCTTTACACACTTTTGAACTCAGATGATTCAAAGGGAAGTCTTCCAAATGTCTAAGAAAGGAATTATACCAATTTTACACAAATTCTTCCAAAGATTAAGACTGGAAGAACTTCCACATCATTTTCTTATTCTATAATAACCTTGATACAAAAACTAGAAAAGAAAAAATAAATTACAAGACAATATCTCTCATAAATATATACATAAGCCTATAAAAATATTCCCAAATCAAAGTTATATATAACAACCAACATTAATAGACAATTATATAGTAAGTTTTATTTCATGAATGTAAGGTTAGTTTACTGTTGAAAAATCAATAAAGTCATCATGTTAACAGATTAAAAAACAAAACCCATATGATAATTTTAAGGCATAAACAAAGCCTTAAATACAATATGAATAAAATTCAATACCTGTCCATGATCAAAATTCTTAGCAAACTCTATAAATATAAAAAGAAATTATCTGATAAACTATACAAAGCCCACACAAAACCTACAGCTAACATTATATTTAATGGTGAAATAGTTAATAGTTTCCCTTTAAGGATGGGAACAAGACACAGATATACACCACCATTGCTGCTAATGAACTCCAAATGTTCTTGCCACTAAAATAGGGTATGAGAAATAGAATAAAACATATAAATATTGAAGAAGGAAAAGGAAAATATTTAGGAAATTGAATAGTATTATAAGCAATCTATTAGAATTAATGAATAAATTGAAAAAGATCATGGGGCACAGGTTACCAAATGGATTTCTATACTAGTGACAATTAGAAATTGGAAAACAAAATAAAAATCTTATTTACAATACTATGAGAATAATACATTCCTTAGGGATAACTAACAAAAGATGTACTGGATATCTATAAATTTAAAGTATTATTGAGACACTGAATGAGACAAATAAATGAAAGTGTATAAAGTATTTATTGATTGGAAAATTAAAAACTTTTAGGATACTAATCTTCCAAATGCTTCTATAGATTTAATACAATTACTATCAAGATCCTTCTTTATGAAAATTTAAAAGTTGATTCTAATATGTATATAAAAATGAAAATGACCCAGGATAGACAAGTTAATCTTGAGGAAGAAGAAGAAAAGCTTTAGGGTATACCTTGATATGAAGGGCTTAGCAATTAAGACAGTGTGGTATTGATTCAAGGACAAATTGATGTATGGAACAGAATCCAGAGTCAGACCAGACATACACAGTGACCTGATTAATGAACAAGCTTCACTGCTGTTTAACAGGCAAAAAGATAATCTTCACAATAAATTGTGCTGGGTATATGGCACATCTACTGGGAAAAAAAATGAATTTTGACTCATTTACTGGAAACAGGTTTAAGGGGCCCCAATTTAATCATAATGACACAAAATAGGACAAATTAAAGAGAAAAAGTATTCTTTTTTTAGAATACATTTTTCCAGTCTTAGAAGGACTAGATAAAATGTTTGCTAATAACAAAGAACTAGAAAGTAGAGGCAGTCAAACTAAAGGCCTGAGGCATTCGCATTTACTCAGAGATTCTACAACCAAGAGGTACATCTTAGTTACCTGAAAAGTGTTTTAAAAATACATATTCTTTTCTTTGGGGACTATATCTTTTATTTAATTTTAACTTTCATTTTAGATGTGGGGTATACATGTGCAGATTTTTTACCTGAGAATATTGGATGATGCTGAGGTTTGGAGTATGGATCCTGGCACCTTGGTAGTGAGCATAGTACCTGATAGGTAGTTTCTTAACTCATCCCTCGCTCCAATCCCTCCACCCTCAAGTAGTCCGCATTGTCTGTTGTCCCCATATTTATATGATATGCACATCCCATGTGTGCTCAATGCTTAGCTCCCACAAGGCTGGAACTGAAGGCCAGAATCCTGAACAAATTAATGCAGGAACAGAAAACCAAAAGTACATATTCTTAATTCCTAAATAGGAAGGCCCCAACTCAGTAGCCGTAGTACAAGAAGTTGGGCATCTGAGTTCTTAAATGTTCTAAAAGTGCTCTAGTATACAGCAAGAGTGTCCTTCTTTGGCATAAAGTTTTAGATAAAAATCATAGTACGAGGCAAGGAATGCCTAGTCATTCTATGAGATTTCCTTGGGCCATATTCTACACTCCTAACTGGGGGAGTCAAGAAGGAATCAAAAACTGGATTCAAAAACCTACTTCCTCAAGAAAGTACTGCATACACTGACATGACTGAAAGTATACATTTTCTGAAAAATAATATATCCCAATGTGTCAAAAGTCATAACCTATGACTCAAAAATTTATTAAATTATAGTACTTAAGCATGGCTAACATTATATATATATATATATATATATGTATATTCCATGTACTCATGGCCTTTTTGATAGTCCATAGTACAGTCTCTGCTATATCTTAAGTGCTGAATCCATGTGAGTTATTATAATATGTACTTTATTGAAGCAAAATGTTTCTAGATATAAATAGTAGGAGAAACAGACTATTAGACATATTACCAAAATATTATCAGTGTGTTCTTGAGCAATATGATTCCTGAATTCATACTTTGTTTTATAGCTTTATGTTTATTTTTATTTATCCAGTTTTCTAATAAAACACTTATATGACTTCTAGAAACAGAAGAAACTGCTAAAAGAAAATTAGAAAATTACAAGTTTCATGAAAAATCTTATTTGGTAAAAATATTAAAATACCATACACACAAGAAGAAAAAGAACTATGTAAGTTGTTCCTCTGTGAAAAAACAAAAATGACTTTTGAGTTCTTCACTTTCCATTTTTCAGAAACACCGGACTTTCACAGCAAAAATAACTTTTGACTGGCTTATTTATAACATGGTAGTCATAGCTGTGTAACATATTTTCTAGGCCATTCTTATAAATCACCTCAAACTTATTGGGGTAGGCTGAATAATGACCCCCAAAGAATAATGTATACCCCAAAGAAGTCCACATTCTAATCCCTGGAACCTTTGAATATGTTACCTTACATGAAAAAAATAAGGGCCTGGTCATCTAATGTATGCAGCACATCTATTATTTAAAATCATGAATATATGTAACCAAATAGCTCTAAATACAGTTTAGTTTCATCCTTTTAATCTACTATTATTGGAAGATGAAACTGGCATAAAGGATAAGTTCACCTTAAGATAAACTATTGTAAGTTGCTGTTTTCTCCCTGGCAGGCTGTCGCTATTGCATTTCTGACAAACAGTGGGTATCATATGTTTAATGAATTTTCTTATGGCAATCTAACACCTTTTCATTCACTGCTTTCATTAGGGACTGGCAGTTGATCATAGCTTTGGTATAGCAAAAGAATCATATCCAGTAAGATGGCCAACTAAATGCAGACAGGTGGAACAGCTCCTACCTGAAGACTGAGACGACTGGCATGCTCCTAACATGCTCCTAACAGATCTTCTCCAGAGTGAACAGAGGGAGTACATGGAAGCTGGGCAGAAGGAGGAGAACGTTGGGAGCCCTACATGGAGATAAACTGCACCCGGACTCATTCCTGACCACCAATGGCTCTGGAGGAATGGGTGAGTTGAAATGGCAAACAGCAATCTGCCCTCACCACAGGCCTCTGGACCACCAGCAGGAGACCCCTCAACCATCACAGGCATTCGAATTGGCAGGGAGAGCTGTTTAGAGAAGTGGTAGGGGCAGTAAGCCAGCTGATGTGGATCCCAGAGGGTTTGGTGCAGGAGCATCTGTAGCAGAGTAAGGCCAGAGATGGCCATCCTGCTAGGCTTGACTTGCTCCCATAGGAAACATTAGCCCTAGAGGAACTGCTGGATCTGAACACTACAGGGTGGTCTTGTCCAACAGATAGGGCCAGTCTGATCTGAGCGCTCCCTGGTGTGCTGGCCTCTCCCACAGCCCCACCATGACCATGCCTGCTTGCAGGTCAGCCCCGAGTGGTCTGGGGGCCTGTGTCATAGTTTCTGCACTGGTAGACTGTGCGGAACTGGCAGAGAGCTCCAGTGGGGCAGCACCTACTTCGAGGCCCCAGCCCACATGCTCCCTCCCTATACTGCAGCTTCCCGCCTGGGCTCAGGGCAACTCCCCAGATTGCTCTGTTGGTGTATGTCTGTGCAGGCAGGTTTTGCTTTCCTAGCACTGACAGCACATTGGAGTCCAGTCTGCCTCCCCTTCCCTTCCAGAATGCCACTGCAGACAGAGCCTTGGAGGGCACAGAGCCAGCAAGCCCCATACCTACAAGCACCCCACCCTTGTACTAACACTATGCAGAGAACAGTGGATCCTCCTCTGCCCTGAGCCATCACTCCTGCTTGAAGGGAACAAAGAAGTTACCCAGACCTGCGCCTGCCATTGCCTGGTCCCTGAGCCAACACTACCTTCAGCACAACTGTTCACACAGTCTCCAGCAGGGGTCCCCAGCCAGCCCCACCTTCCCCACCAACCAAGCTGCAAGGGAGGCAGGCACTGCAGAACCCACTAGCACTCTGCCACAGCTGCCACTACTGCTATTGCTGGAATGTGAGGATGGATCCTGCTGTCACTGCACTGTGAAAGGCTTTGGCTGACACCATCCATTGGAGTGTAGTAACTGGGGGTCTGGGAGCACCTCAGATTCCCCGAGCTCAGTAGATTCCTAACCTTGAGAAGCCAGAGAGCAAAGTTGGAGCCCAATATATGTCCCCCAGTTAGAACACACAGTTCAGGATTTGGGAGCACAGTGTTGGTCCCCTAAAATCTTCCGGAAATGAAGCCAGTCAACTGAATCCATGTTATACCACAATCAAACCCTCAAGGGAATCAAATAAGATAAAAGCAAACAAACAAAAAAAATCAAAAGGTCAGCAATGTCAAAGACTGAAGGAAGACAAGCCCACAAAGACGAGAAAGAATCAGCACAAAATCCCTGACACTCACAAAGTCAGAGGGCCTTTTTTCCTGCAAACAGCTGAATCATCTCTCCAACAGGAGTTCTGAACTGGGCTGAGCTGCTGAAATAACAGAAATAGAATTCAGACTAAGGATAAGAAAAAAGATAATTGAGCTAAAGATGTATATTAAGACTCATTCCAAGGAAGCTAAAAATCACATTAAAACAATGCAGGAACAGACAGACAAAACAGGCAGTGTAGAAAAAAAATGGAACCAATCAACCTGATAAAGCTGAAAAATGCACTATAAGAATTTCATAAGGTACTCACAAGTATTAGTAGCAGAATAGACCAAGTGGAGGAAAGAATCTCAGAGCTTGATGGCTGCCTTTCTGAAATAAGACAGTCAGACAAGAACAGAGAAAAAAGAAGGAAAATAAATGAACAAAACCTCAGAGAAATAGGGGATTATGTAAAGAGACCAAATGTATGACTCATTGCTCTCTCTGAAAGAGATGGGGAGAATGGAAACAACTTGAAAAACATATTTCAGGATATCATCCATAAGAACCCCCTCAACATAGCTAGAAAGGCCACCAATCAAATTCAGAATATATTCCCAACACAGAAGCACACAAATTCATAAAGCAAGTTCTTAGAGACCTTCAAAGAGACTTAGACTCCCACATAATATTGGCAGGAGACTTCAACACTCCACTGACAGCATTAGATAAACCATCGAAGCAGAAAATTAACAAAAACATTCAAGACCTAAACTCAGCATTGGTTCAAATAGATCTGATAGACATCTACAGAACTCTGCACCAGAAAACAATAGAATATACATTCTTCTCATCACCATATGGCACATACTATATAATCGATCACATAATCACAAGTAAAACACTCCTCAGCAAATGCAAAAGAACTTAAATCATAGCAAGCACTATCTCAGACCACAGCACAGGAAAGTTAAAAACCAAGACTACGTATTTCACTCAAAAGCATTCAATTACATGGAAATTGAATAACCTGCTCCTGAATGACTTATGGGTAAATCATGAAATTAAGCGAGAAATCAAGAAGCTCTTTGAAAGTAATGAGAACAAAGGTGCAACATGCTAGAATCTCTGGGACACGGCTAACACAGGGTTAAGTGGGAATTTTATAGCACTAAATGCTCACATCAAAAAGTTAGAAAGATCTCAACTTGACAACCTAATGTCACAACTAAAAGAACTAGAGAAAGTAGAATAAATCAACCCCAAGCTAGCAGAAGACAAGAAATAAGCAAAATCAGAGCTGAACTGAAGGATATTGAGATACAAAAAAACCCAAACCACTCTAAAGATCAACAAATTAAACAGCCTGTTTTCTGAAAATATTAATAAAATAAATAGACCATTAAATAGACTAATAAAAAATAAGGGAACAGATTCAAATAAACACATTCAGAAACAACAAGGGGCATATCACCACTGACCCTGCAGAAATACAAATAACCATCACATAATATTATGAACCCCTTTATGCACATCAAGTAGAAAATCTGGAAGAAATGGATAAATTCCTGGACATGGACATTCTCCCAAGACTGAACCAGGAAAAATTGAGTGCCTAAATAGAACAATAATCAGCTCTGAAATTGAATCAGTAATAAATAGCCTACCAACCAAAAAAAATCCCAGGACAAAATAGATTTACAGCTGAATTGTACCAGATGTACAAAGTAGAGCTGGTATCATTTCTCCTGAAACTACACCAAAAAATTCTGGAAGAGAGGCTCCTCCCTAACTCATTCTATCATGATACCAAAACGTGACAGAAACACAACAAAAAAGAAAAATTTCAGGCCAATATCCTTCATGAACATTTATGCAAACATCCTCAAAATACTGGCAAGCCAAATCCGACAACACTTCAAGTATCTTTTCTACCATGATCAAGTAGGCTTTATCCCTAGGATGTAAGGTTTGTTCAACATACACAAATCAGTAAATGTGATTCATCATTTAAACAGAACTAAAGACAAATCCACATGATTATCTCAATAGAAGCAGAAAACCTTTTCAATAAAATTCAACACCCCTTCATGTTGAGACTTCAACACAGTAATAGGGCTAGACTTCAACACACCACTAGCAGCATTAGATAGATCACCAAGGCAGAAACATTAGCAAAGATATTCAGAACCTGAACTCAACATTGGACCAAAAGGATCTGATAGACCTCTATAGAACTCTCCACTACAAAACAACAGAATATGCATTCTTCTCATTGCCACATGGCACATAATCTAAAACTGACCATATAACTGAACATAAAACAATCATCAGCAAATGCAAAAGAATTGATATAATAACAAACACACTGCCGGACCACAGTGAAATAAAAATAGAAGCCAAGACTAAGAAAATTGTCCAAAACCATGACATTACATGGAAATTAAACAACATGCACCTGAATGACTTATGAGAACAGAGACACAACATACCAGAATTTCTGGCACATATAAAAAAACCCTTCAAAAGATCAATGAATTCAGGCCTTCATTTTTTTGAAAAAAGTGATAAAATAGGCTGCTATCTAGAATATACAAAGTAGAAAAGATAGAAGATTCAAATAAACACAATTAGAAGTGATGAAAGGAAGGTTACCACTGACCCCACAGAAATAAAAATAACCGTCAGAAACTGCTATGAACACTTCTATGCACATACACTAGACAACCTAAAAGAAATGGATAAATTCTTGAACACATACAACCTCCCAAGACTGAACCAGGAATAAAGTAATGTCCTGAACAGACAAATAACAAGCTCTAAAATTGAATGAGTAATAAATAGCCTACCAACTAAACAAAGCACAGGATCTGACAGAGTCACAGCTGAATTGCACCAGATGTACAAAATATAGCTGGTACCATTCCCAGTGAAACTATTCCAAAAAATTGAGGAGAATAAACTTCTTCCAAACTCATTGTATGAGGCCAGCATCATCCTGATCAAAACCTGGCAGAGTCCCAACAAGAAAATAAAACTTCAGGCCAATATTTTTTATGAACATCAATGCAAAAATCCTCAAAACAAAATCTTGCAAACTGAATTCAGCAGCACATCCAAAAGTTAATCCACCATTATCAAGCAGGCTTCATCCCCAGGATGCAAGGTTGGTTGAACATATGCAAATCAATTAATGTGATTTATCATATAAAAAAAGCTAAAGACAAAATCCACATAATTATCTCAACAGATGCATAAAAGGCTTTTGATAAAATTCAGCACCTCTTCACATTAAAAACGCTCAATAAACTGGGTATTGATGAAACTTTTGAACAACAAAGAAGGAAACAACAGACACTGGAGTCTCCTTGAGGGCAGAGAGTGAGAGGAGGCAGAGGAACAGAAAAGATAACTATTGGGTACTACTGGGCTTAATTCCCGAGTGATTAAATAATCTATACAACAAATCCCTATGACATGAGTTTACCTATATAACAAGCCTTCATATGTAACCCCAAACTTAAAATAAAAGCTACAAATAATTGAAAAAAGAAGGAACAAATGCACAGTCAACATTGTGCTGAATGGCCAAAAGCTGGAAGCATTACCCTTGAAAACCAGCACAAGACAAAAATGCCCTGTCCACCATGCCTATCCCACATAGTATTGAAAGTCCTGGCCAGGGCAGTCTGGCAAGAGAAAGAAATAAAGCGCTTCCAAATAGAAGGAGAGGAAGTCAAAATACACATGTTTGCAGATGACATGATTCTATATCTAGAACACCACATAGAATCAGCCCAAAAGCTCCTTAAGCTAATTAACAACTTCAGCAAAATCTCAAGATACAAAAATCAATGTGCAAAAGTCACTAACATTTCTATACATTAACAACAGTCAAGCTGAGAATCAAATCAGAAATGTAATCTCATTCACAATTGCCACAAGAAGAATAAAATACATAACTGGGGAGGTGAAAGATCTCTGCAAAGAGAACTACAAAACACTGCTCAAAGAAATCAGAGATGGGACAAACAAATGGAAAAACCTTCCATGGTCATGGATAGAAAGAATCAATATCATTAAAATGATCCTACTGCTGAAAGGAATTTACAAATTCAACACTATTCCTATTAAATTACCATTAATATTCTTCACAGAACTAGGAAAAAAAACTATTTTAAAACTCATATGGAGCCAAAAAGAGCCCAAATAGCCAAGACAATCTTGGCAAAAAGAATAAAGCTGGAGGCATCATGCTACCTGACTTCAAACCATATTACAAGGCTACAGTAATCAAGGCAGCATGGCACTGGTACAAAAAACAGACACATAGATCAATGGAAAAGAATACAGAACCCAGAAATAAGGCCACATGCCTACAACTATCTGCTCTTTAGCAAACTTGGCAAAAACAAGAAATGGGGAAAGGACTCACTATTTAATAATTGGTGTTGGGAGAATTGGCTAAACATATACAGAAGATCGAAACTAGACTCCTTCCTGACACTATAAATAAAAATTAACTCATTATAGATTAAAAACTTAAATGTTAAATTCAAAATAATATAAACTCTGAAACACAACCTAGGCCATCACATTCTGGATATAGGATCAGGGGAAAAGATTTTATGACAAAGGTACCAAAAGCAATTGCAACAAAAGCAAAAATTGACAAATGGGAGATAAATAAAGGGCTTCTGCACAGAAAAAGAAACTATCATTAAAGGAACAGACAACCTACAGAATGGGAGAATAATTTTGCAAACTGTGCACCTGACAACCATCTATAAGAAACTTAGACCAATTTACAAGAAGACAACAAACAAACTCATTAAAAAGTGGGGAAAGAATATGAACAGATGCTTTTCAAAAGAAGATGTATGTGCAGCCAACAAGCACATGAAAAAAGCTGGTTATTAGAGAAATAAAATCAAAACCACAATTAGATACCATCTCACAACAGTCAGAATGGCTATTATTAAAAAGTCAAAAAATAACAGATGCTGGTGAGGCTGAAGAGAAAAAGAAATGCTTATACACTGCTGGTGGGACTGTAAATTAGTTCAATCATTGTGGAAGACAGTGTGGTGATTCCTCAAAGGCCTAAAAACAGAAATACCATTACTAAGTATATACCCAAAGGAATATAAATCATTCTTTCATAAAGTCATATTCACATATATGTTCATTGCAACACTGTTTACAATAGCAAAGACATGGAATCAACCTACATGCCCATCAGTGATAGACAGGTTAAAGAAAATGTACATATACACAATGGAATACTATGCAGCCATAAAAATGAAATAATGTCCTTTGCAGGAAAATGGTTAGAGCTTGAGGCCATTATATTTAGGAAACTAACATGGGAACAGAAAACCAAAACCAAATGTTCTCACTTATAAGTAGGAGCTAAAAGATAAGAATACATGGACGCATAAATGGGAACAATAGACATTTAGGCCTACTGGAGGTTGGAGTGTGGGAGGAGGAAAAGGAGCAGAAAAAATAACTAATGGGTACTAGGCTTAATACCTGGGTGATGAAATAATCTCTACAGCAAACCCCCACAACAGAAGTTTATCTTTATAACAAATCTGCACATATAACCCTGAACTTAAAATAAAAGTTCAAAGAAAAGAATCAAGTCATATCTCTACACCCCTTTCTACTATTTTGAAATGGGCTACTAGATTTGTCACTTAGATGATTAGATAAATGAGAGCTGTTGCGTTTATTGTTTTTGAGAGTAAGTTTTTGCACTATTTTAGCAAGCAGCATCTATTAAAAGACTGGTCAATGTCTGTTGAATAGAAAACATAAATTTTTTGTGGGGAAATAACTGAACCTGAGAAGAAGGAACACACATATAAAATACATTGCCTTTAATTCCTTTCCCCATTTTCAAAGTTCATAATCTGCTGGGAGATATTTGTTAGAATGATATATGTGTTTAATTTCATTCAGATAAGCAATACAAGAACCTTGAAATCTTAAGCATACTTTGTACATTACAACCTCACAAATTAGTTGTGATCTACAGTTTCACTGTAAGTTTCTTTCTTAGAGAAACAGAAGTTTGTCTTTTTTATTATTTGGTTTACATTATTGATCTGGGACCATCTTAATTTTCATGTAACTGCATATATCTTCATTATGCCATAGGAAGTACTGAGTGCCTTACTTCTCTGAGGCTTTCACAGTTTCATCAGCCTTTTGTAATACGTACTTCCAGTCAGGCAGCTACTGGAGATCAATGCGGAGAATAACAAGGACATCGCGGGACTGTAAAACCTCTTCTCTTGAGTACCACTCCTGCATTTGTTCCATGACAAGGAATTTATGAATACCCCTGTTGGACTTTTATGACTACATAAGCTAGCCTAACCCTGTGCTATCAGGCTTGGACACAATAATTTATACTGCTTCCGTTTTGCTAAATTCCTGGCCCTGCCACATTTTTTTTTCTCTTTGTTTATGACTTATAGCTAACTAAACAAGCACACATCAGTTATAAACATCTTTAAACACTTTATTTGATAAATTACTCATCGGCTTAAGAACTGTCAAAGTTTTCATAAGAAGTTTTCCAAAATACTAGAATTCTATCTGCAGCAGGGACAGCTATCTGTGCAATAAAAAAATCATGGTCCTTTTCCACGGCATAGAGTTGTTGCCCCAAACTGGCAGCCAAACCATGATCAACATTTTCTAGGAATAAAAGGAGAACATAAAAAACTGCCTATATTCCCTGCCAAAGTGATTAATATGTGAATATGATTTCTCCACCTTCTTTCTTCTTGATCCTGCAGCCTGGAGGGCAATGGACAACCTTAAAAGTCACACGTTGCTGATGCCGGAAACGGTCAGCTTTGGTTCCTGAATGCTTGTCTTCAACTGAGGCCGCTGCCCTTCCTCTTTCCTGCCACAGATCAGGAACATCTACTTTTTAATTTATGTGATTGAGAAGCAAACTTCTATTGTGGTAAGCCACAGATGTCTCTAATGTTTACTTAGAGCCACAGATGTCTCTAATGTTTATTCTAGTCAGTATTTCTTTTACATAGTTAATTTAGGTTAATTAGGCACCACTATGCAACATATGCTAATAAATCCTTATTATTTTGGAGGTCCAATAATTCTAAATTATGGTAGTTTAGTATTATCACAGTGGAAATTGACATTTACGACTTCAATGAGTAGATGAATTAATAAATAAAGAAACTTTAAAAACCAATTAACTAGGTAAATACTATTTTAAGAAGCCACGTGTATATATTTATTAGAGCCAAAAAAGAACACTTGGAGAAATTTAGTGGTATGTGATACAGATTAATAAACTCAGTGTCAAAGACAAAGAGGCCTGGCTTTGGCCTCAAGGTCTGCTATTGCAGCTGGATGATTTTGTACAGGTCACTTAATTTCTCTACTTTCTTATTTGAAAAATGAATATATTAATTGTTTCTACCTTAAAATGTGACTCAGCTTTGACACAGATTACTACTAACACTGATGGGCCTCAGATAAACCCAGCTATGCTGAACAAACTTTGGGTGATATCAGAAAGACATTCAATAGATAAGGGTGGCATAGGATACCTCATTCATAAAGTGACAGTAGAGTAATCAACAGCATGGAATGGAGAAGGGTAGAGGGAGGGATTTCAGGGAAAAGTCCACCACATACTTAAGCAGTTTGCTTCACTCCCCATGGCATCCATGATAAATCTCTCTGATTAACTCTCCACTCCCGTTGCTGCCTTGTCCAAGCTCAAAACTCTGCTATTAGAGAAAATGCAGCCTCTTTGGTTTACTAATAGTTTGTGGATAGAAGGCCATTACTATTTTTTTTTATTAAAGTTTTAGGGTACATGTGCACATTACTATTAATAGAAAAATTGGCATCAATATTCTCTGCAGATGACACAATCTTTATGGAAGAAAAGAAAAGCCTGAACAGTGAGTAAAGTTAAACCTTTTATCAGTAGAAGAGTATTTACATTTCCCCTATCAGTGATGTGAACAGATAATCAAATACTTGGGCTTTAGTCAATGGCTTTGCTGTATAGTTAGGCAAATGAACCCTAGATAATTGCACAATAAAAACTCTCCTGTATGAAACAATCAGTTATGAATTTCTGTGGGAATTTTGAGGGAAAATTAGAATGGGTTATGTGAAACATGCACGCACACACACACACACACACACACACACACACACACAGAACAACTCATATGTTAGCTCACTGGAATTTTAAGGCAAAGTCCTTAGAATTGTAGTGCTGACTACCTAGTTTCATGAAAAGAGGAGGCATGTTGGTGCTGCTGCCAAGCACTGTCGGGCTAGAAGGCAAAACATTTTAATTGCACACAATGAAATAGCTAATATAATTTTTAAAAGAAAAAGAATACAAGTCACCCAAATATTAACCAGAATGAAATTCATTGAAAATCCCCTTGAGTTGAATTCCCCAAGGGCAAGGACCTACGGAATAGGTGAGTGAATTACTTTAGATTTTCATCAGCGGCCTCCAGGTCTACAACTGGATGCTAACAGATGTTATTCTGTTCTATTTTAGGCATTGCTTATTAGTTAAAATATAAAATTCAGAGGACACAATTAAAGGTATGAAACAGAAAAATCAATTTTGCTACCCAGGCTGCCTGAATATATTTCTTCTGATTATGGTACGCACTTTGCTGTACAGAAATGGTCAAGAAAAGTAATATTACATGGATATAATATACTTATCACTATCTTTAAAATTTTGGACTTTTTGACAATTAAAGGTTGGCTTAGTCAAATAAATTAGCACAAAAATTAAATATGAGAGTAAATATGCTCAGGTTCTATTGGAAAAGTTTCTGGGATCAGGATGTGGTATGAAGGGATAGGAGAGGATTATCATTATACAATTGTACATTTCCAACTTCACACAATTTTTCTTTTATTTGGCCCTAGGCCCATTTTTAAGTTTATATGTACCTAAAAATGAACATATCAGTAGCCAAAACTTTTTACACAGCATATCTCTAAGGAAGCGTTGGGATGGGTGATGACATGGCCCATGTAGCAACATTGGGATCAGCTATGAACACTCTAATACAAAGCAGGAGAGCAAGAGTACTCTAATTCTTAACCTGTCAAATACCATGGCATCTGCCTGTATGGGTACAAGGGTTAGCATAGGTGCTGCTGTTATTTTTTGCAGCTCTGTGGATACATCATCTTCCCACTGAATTAGGTATCCCAGCTATAAAGGGGAAAGGTATGAGGAGATGGTCAGAGTGGTGCAGTACTGAAATCAGCAAATTCCCGTCCTCTTTGTTCACTTAGATCACAGAACACTGAGAGATTTTCTCCCTGAAGAAACGAAATAGCCCAAGAGTAAAATATATATGGCCTTTAGACCATTGGTTATATTCCAGTGCAATAGCAATATCACTGACAAATCACCACAGATTGAGACCTATCGGTAAACAAGTCCAAACTGTAAGTACAGTTTTTCATCCACTGTAAATGCTTCACTGTTAAATTAGAGTGGGTATCTAAGAATCATTAAATAAATAGCAACAAAAAATAAAGTAGTGAAAATAAAGAGGGAAAACAAAAAATCAAGTAGTGAAAAAAATCAAGTAGAGAAAATCAAGATAAATAGTAACGAAAAATCAAGTAGTGAGAATAAAGAGAAAATACAAATAATAAAGAGACAAGGGAGTGGTAATTGTCCATATGATTTTTAGTAACATTTGATTTAAAGACTACTTATATACAATTACTTAATTTAAACGTTAAATTAGAATAATCCATCATAAACAAGTAGGGACAGGGAGAAAATACTCTGTGATATGATGACTTAATTTTTTGCGACGTTTCTTTAGAAGACAAGTTCAATGGACATCTATACATCCATGTCAATTTATGACTGATATGGCTTTCACATTTTAGATAGTATTAGTTATATGTGTAAATTTGTATATGGATGACAATTTTTGAAAATACAATCTCAATCCATTTGTAATTTAGTGTTTTTTAATTTTTCACTAAAATGCACAGATTGTTATTCATTAAAACATTCTTTTGCTCTAATAGTGGTTGAATTTATATCATGTTAAATGGCATTACTTTTAGGTAACCATTTGATTTGTATTCACAACCTATAAAATTTAATGAGAATCCAAAATATGGAATATTTGGTAGGGACTCTTGGTTTAAATCTCATAATTGGTTTTAGAAGATTATATTTTGGTATTTTATATTCACTTTTTTTTTTTTGAGACAGAGTCTCACTCTGTCACCCAGGCTGGAGTGCACAGGAGTGATCTCAGCTGACTGTCACCTCTGCCTCCCAGGTTCAAGCAATTCTCCTGCCTCAGCCTCCCGAGTAGCTGGGACTAAGGCGTGAGCCACCACACCCGGCTAATTTTTGGTATTTCTAGTAGAGACGGGGTTTCCCTATGTTGGCCAGGCTGGTCTGGAACTCCTTACCTCAGGTGATCCACCTGCCTCGTCCTCCCAAAACTTTGGGATTATAGGTGTGAGCCACCACACCCAGCCTATGTTCACTTTTTAATAAGAGGAAATAACAGAAGAAGAAAAACTAATGTAGATGGGTGTTAGAGGTCCCAGATCTTCTTTTCCTGTCTTTTCTATAGAGACAAAAACCAGAAACCAAACCAAACCAAAATATCCTTCATTTACTCTATGTGTCAACAATCCTCAACTTTTAATGATTCACTAGAATGACTCAGAGAACTCAGAAATGCTGTTTGAGGCACTCTGAAAAAAGTTTTCACGATTTTCCTCACATATCATTTTCCTTCTGCCTGAAAGCAATTTCCCCCTATTCTACAGTTTCACAGTGGCTAAATGCATGCAGAGCTAAGCTGAAGCATCAATCATAATTTAAAACATTTCTAACACCTTCATACTTGTTTAGGTGCCTTTTTACCTTTTCTCTATCTTTCAATACTGTTGTTTATGTCTATTATAGCACTTAAATGAAATTTTGTATTAAGAAAAACAAAACCTCTCTATAGACTTTGAGCTCTTTAAGCAAAATGGTAATGGTATAAAATTTCTGTATTTACTGTTCCAGTAAACTACCTTGAATTTAGTACATTCTTGATAACACACAATGAAATGAATTATTCCATTATGTTACGTCACATCAAGAATTGCATCTGTTCATTATGTGAAGCATCACAGTATTTGTATAATTTTATCTCTAAAACTAAGTAAGAGTATAGATGGATGGTGTTTGACTAAAGTTAAATATGTACTAAAAGAACTCATATATATAAATTTAAACAAGTTTATTTTTGTGTTGGTGTTATAATATATCAACCTGGCTAGACTAGCACATTCGTCACAATTATTTTTCTAACGTGTTTTCAGATAGGGTAGGCTAACAAGAGCTATTCTCTTCCGTAAGTTAGATCTGGAAAGGAGACAGCAGCTGTTTGGTAGCATACACCCACTTTGTTCCAGTTATTCAATCACACATTAGTGTACTTGCTGCTGTGGAGGGACTTTGCAGATGTAATTAGAGTTCCAAAGAAGTTAATTCTGGGTTAATTAAAATAGAGGTTATCTCAAGTGGGCCTGACCTAATCCCATTGGCGTCCCTTAAAGAGAGACTGGACAAGACATCAGACATCAGAGATTTTTAGCAACACCTGGGGCTGTAATCAAACTTCCTTCCACATTGATCCTCCCTTTCTGACTGCTCTGTGAACTTTGGGATAGTTGAGTCAGCCCTCATGATTGTGTAAGCAGATTACTTGTAGTAAGCCATATGTGTGCCTATGTTTGTGCGTGTCTGTGTGTCTGTGTATATTTATATGATCTACCATTTCTGCTCTTTAGTTAAACCCTGACACAATTTAACTGACTTTTTATAATAATATTCAACACACCTGATACTTTATCTACTTGCTATTTGGATAGATGTATTAAAGTACATATTGCATAGAAAACCAAATTCTTACTGCTGTGATCCCAATCTCAAATGCCCTCAGAGTTCAGACACAACGGAGGTGGTGTGGCCTGTGGCCAACTGGGAAGAGCATTTTTATTCAAACAACATTTCATAGAGAAATCATGAACATTCAAAGAGAGTTAAATAATGTGTTCATCAAAGGTCATCTGCCCAGCATTCTACACAAAGGCCATGTACCTCTAACTGCAGAAGTCAGACCTTTGTTCTTTAGAACAGCTTTATACCCTGCTGCGTTCACTATCGTCCAAAGCTGTCTGAACCAGTGTTCTGCCCATTAGTTATAATCACCAAACAACCCTTCATATGTTGGCAGAGCAAACAGAAGAGGACAGAAAGAGAACTCTGTAAAGACAGAACTCTGTACAGTTTCCAGCTGAGGTGTGTGTGTGTGTGTGTGTGTATGTGTGTGTGTGTGTGTGTGTGTGTGTGTGTGTGTGTATGAGAGAGAGAGAGAGAAATGGATCCATTAAAACCCTGTGTCCAATATTTGGTTGGGTGCATAGCAGAGGCTTTCTGATTCATGACACACATCCACCTGTCCCTGAGATAAATCCAAGATTTCAGATATAAGCTAGGCTTTTTAAAAATAAAGTGTGGAATCACACAAGAGAATACATTAGATAGCACTGAAACATGTTTCTTTGTTGTATTTATATTTTGTCATTTCACACACTTCTTTTCATAAAATATACTTTTTAAAGCTAAATATCTATGAAATTATCATACAAGGGGGTAATTCTAATAATTACTTTTCTTCTGTCTGTATAGTTCATCTTGCTGAGATTTATTTTGATTTATCACATTGTCAGTTACCCCTTAGCTGTCGTATGTTTACCTTCAAATCCTCATCAGACTTTAACCGAGCATGAGTGCTTTATATAATTGCCTGTTTATGTGGAAAATATTTAGGATTTGATATAGATATAAATTAATCCTTTATTAGCAACTCTGAAATTCAATTTTTACTTCCCACAGGGAGCATGTTCAATCTCTATTGAATAAAAATGAATGAATGAATGAATGAGTGATTAAGATAAAGTTCTTGGGTGCCTTTCACTATATCATTAATAACTTCAATGTGTCTGTGTGTGACCTCAGTTTATCAGAGAATATAGAGATGACAAGTAATAAAAATTTTTCATTGATTGTTGAACCAAGCCCTGTTTGATTGTATCCAGAAACAAAAAAAAATGTGGTCTAGATGATCTAGAATATTGTTCTCTTCTATTCTTGTGCCAATGTTTAACCACTTTTTCGTCTCTTGCACATAGAAGAAATATATAAAATATTAAGGGAAGTTAACATTTAATTTTCACAGTTGATTAGGACAAAGTGATTCAACACATCAGTTCTTGAGTCAATAATATTTTTAGGAGTGTTAAGCATTCTGAAGAATCGTGCACTAAAGTTTGCCTTAGAGTCACTGGTTACTTTAATCCTGACTTTCAATCACTCAAGTCGAATACAACAAATTCACCTGAAAAATGCTCATAGTTATTTGTTCCTTAAAATATGCCAAAGTAACAGTATCATCTCTTTTGGAAAATGCACTCCATTTTAAAACCCAAACATTTCTGATATCAATGATACATATTAGATGATTCTAGAATAACTTTTGAAAATCAATTTAAATTTTATAAACGAATCATCAGAGAAAATTTTATGGTAACTATTTTGTATCATATTTTAAACTAATGTGCATATTCAAATATATACAAATTAGACCCTCACAGTCTACCATAAGCAGGTTTGTGAACACAACCAATTGTTATTTACATTAGCAAGTACCAAGGTGGCTGTGTAATTACATAGCAAGTATTTTTAGGTTAATCAAATAAGCCTGATAATTGTTTCAATTTAGAAAACATGACCTCAGAGGTACAGATTAACTTGTTCATTCTTTTAAATTCATAAACTTCTGCCATTGTTTTGTCCATTTTTGCTTCTATATTTTGTTATTGCTTTTACCCTTAACCTCCCATTACCTTCCTATCAATAGCACACATGCTTGTGTTAATGTATATCTTTCCAATGAACTTTTCTGTACATGTATTTAAATATTCAAACCAGTGTAAAAATCAGTTTAGTTCTAAATTTACCCCAATAATCTGCACAATAAATCTCACATTTTTATCTTTCTATTTTTGTTATTTAACATTCTGTTTCAGATCTAGTTTTATCAGATTTAGTTCCTTACCTGACCACCTGGCCACTATGTAGCAGAGTTTATCTCCAGCTGTTTCTTCATACATATAATGTTAAAATAAATCACCTTGTAAAGGTCTTCTTACCCATGTATGAGAGCTAGAGCTACGAGAATGATTAATAGGCCTAGTGCATAAGCTAATTATCTCTTGTTAGTGCCTTTTTCCATTCCTTAATTGCTGATAACCTCTGTGTGAATATTCCTGTTTCTTGCTTTCTTGTTAGCATTCAAAGTACCACAATTTTAAAAACTGAAATTAATGCTTGTTTCCTCTCAGATATTTCTCCATATGCTGTTTAAGAACATGTGGGAGAAGAGGAAGAATATTCAATAGCCTGAGCAGACGTTGTTGCTGACCTGTCTTCAGTCATGGGCTGAACACCCTAGTCTCCAATAGGTAAGAATGAATAGTCTAAGAGGGAAACTTGCAAGACTTCAGGCCAGTCTGTAATATCAAATGGAGTAGCAGTAAATTCAGGAGTTGGGAAAGTCCATTCACACTGACATATCTCCTTGGTCGTACTTTTTTTCAATAACAACTTGCTTTAAAAAGAATCTCTTTAGTACATGTAGAGAAATAGAGGACAGGCACGACTTCCATGGGTGCTCAAGAGGAATGCTGCCACACATGCACAAGACTTCCTGGGCCAGCATCTATCACATCAGACCCAGTGAGCATACCTCCTTATTGCTGGATGGATGGCAGTGTCCACATAACACAGAGGAGGATCTCTGTTACCCAGGGCCATGGTGATCAGGAACATCACATGCCTTCATGGGAGGTCAATGCTGTAATCAGCACCCAGCAAAACGTGGGGCTCCAAGAAAGCTGCCTAGATCTGCTTAGTAAAGTCTGAGAATGAAGTATATGCAGCAATAGGTGTGGATGGTAAATGCAATCCATTTCAGTAACACAGAATAGCTGGTGTTCCTAGAAGATATGAGTCACATCAGCTGGATTTTCAATGGCAACAATGACATGAGCTGCCAGCAGAAGCTTGTCTGGTTCACTTCATATTTATGATGCAGATGCCTTTTTTTTCCCTAAAGATACATTTCTTTCTAAAATTCAGTTATGATGACACCTATGCATGATCCTGAAGTAAGGATCCTCTCCTGCAGGAAATCAAGGGCCCTAGACATTTTGATAATTTTCCTTAAAGTCATGATACACCCCAGTAACAATAGTATATGGACCTTTTTTTGAGACTAATAGGTAGAAAGTAGAATCTTATTATTGTTTTAATTTATGTAATTAAGATAAATTTTTATCTGAGCATCTATTCATTTTCCTACTCGACATTCTGTCTTCTTATTTTGAGAACTGCTTATTGATATAATTGCCCATTTTATAATTGGATTTCCAGTTTTGTATGCCTTGCAAGATTTCTTTTCACATTCAAGATACTGAAATGTGCTAGTTATATATCCTGCAAATATGTCCTTCTACTGTGGCAACTCTCCTTTCATTATGTATTTTGAGTAATTCACTGAATAGAATTTTTCTTTTGAAAATTTATAAATTTTATTTTGTTTTTAATGACATAATATATTAATACATATTTATGTGGTACAGTTTGATGTTTCAATATACATATATGTTGTGGAATGATCAAATCAGTGTAATTACCATATCTATTACCTCAAACAATTGTCATTTCTTTGTGATGAGAACATTCAAAATTTTCTCTTCTTATTATTTTGAAGTATACAATACATTATTGCTGACTATTGTTACCCTATTGTGCAATAGTACATCAGAACTTATTACTCCTTGAATAGAAATTCTTAATTTTGATGTAGTCAAATACTATCATTTGGTTCTCCATAGCCCCCACCTTTTTTCGTGAGTTTTGTATATTAATTATCCCTGTTTTGATCGTGGTCCACCTATCAGGAATACAGAAATAATGAAAGCTATAATGAGGTGCCCTAGAGGTGGCAACACTAGAAGCTGTTGCCACCACTAGGCTAATGGGGTAAAGAGAGGAGGTATTGCTACCTGAAGATACAGAGAAGACAGACAGAGAAGCAAGCTAGTCTGCAGGTGAGATCCTGGGCTAAATTACAAGCAGGACTCCTAGTTAAATTTGGATTTCAGGTAACAACTATTGCCACTAAGAGATCATGAGTGTCAAAAATACACTGGCTTCCCGTTTTCTCCTGCCAGTGACTTTCATTGGCTGAACTCAACCAGAAGACTAATGACAAAGAATCCTGAAAAATATAGCTGACAGAGTAAAGCAGATGGGCTATAGAGCTAATAAAGGATCATAGACTCATTTTTACTCAAATTTTTAACCAGGGCAATCATCTGTGGCTATTCTACAAAATGATCCAGTCAATGGGGATACTTTCTGCCAATTATATTGGTCACTATGGAAGAAGGATGTCTTAGTCCATTCTTGCTGCTATAACAAATTACCTTACACAGGACATTTTATAAACACTGGGCATTTATTTCTCACAGTTCTAGAGGTTGGCAAGTCCAAAATAAAGCCACTGGCAGATTTGGTATTTGGTGAGGGATCACTCCTCATAGACAGTGCTTTCCCACAATGACCTCACAGGGCTAAAGGGGCAGGGCAGAAAGGATAATCAGACTTTTTCAAGTGATTTTAAAAGGGCATTTATCCCATTCATGAGAATCACTTTGATGAGTGATTTTGATGAATGAGAATTATCATGACCTAATCACTTTCCAAAGGTTCCACTTCTTAATACCATCATTTTAGAGGCTAAATTCCAATATGTGAACTTTTGGTGGGACACCAACATTCAGACTAAAGCAAGAGCTAAAACAAAAGTAAAAGACTGAAGTTTGGAGCCTATGGTAGGCTGCATAAGAGCCATAAAGACCTGTGAATTTACCTCAAAATTACCTACATGTAGCATTGGAATCACTTTGTGTTTCTCATTGTGTATTCTGAAGATGCTGCTAATTGCAATTAACCACAAATTTTCACAATCAAGAAAATATGCAATTTTAATTAAAGATAAAATCATATGAGCTACTGTCCACTTAAATGCTTTTCAGGTAATTCATCACCCATGAAATTAGTCCTACTCAGGATTAAATCCTACTGTATGATACTAAGCCAAGTTCACATCAGAACAAATTGAAAGTAAACATCAAACTATCTTTCAAATGCATTTTAAAAGCTTTAGTCTTTAATTTTTAATATTTAGTTATTTGATCAACAAATTAAGGTTTCCACTTTATACCAGGGAATTCTTTCAAGGGTTGGAAATAAATAAAAAATCTATAATCCTTGATTTCCAGATGTCTGTGTGTGTATGTGTTATGTAAGCAAGTATCTTACAATCACAAGTTGTTAATTAGATATTTAAAATATTTACATCAAATACTTTCTATATTCTATACTGTCTCTAAGGCATAATAGAAATGAATGACTTATTTGACTATAAGACTAGACATATACTTTTAATTGATAAGCCAAGGTAAATCATTATATCTTCTAAATTGCATGAGTCCATTATGAAGCTGTCTTAGTCTGCTTTATTTTTATAACAGAATACCTGAAACTGAATATCTATAAATAAAAAAAATTTATTACAGTTGTGGAAGCTGATAAGTCTAAGGTCTAGGGGCTGATCTGGTGAGAGACTTATTGCTGGTGGGTATTCTTGAAGAGTCCTGAGGTGGCACCAGGGCATCACGTGGTGGAAAGTGCTGAGCATGCTAACATGCCAGCTTATGTCTGTTTTTCTCTTCTTATAAAACCACTAGTTTCAAGCCCATCCATATTTAAGCATTAATCCATTAATTCAAGAATGGATTAATCGATTTCAATGACTTCTTAAGGCCCAATGTCTGAATATTTTCACAATGGGGATTAAGTTTCAACAAGAGTTTTGAAGGCGACGTTCAAACCATAGCAGCACTCAGTCATTGTTTCCTTAGGCAAAGTCTTTCTCAGGTCCAGTCACTTTCATCACTGATGTTTGGGTATGGAGCTTGTGGCATCATTGTTGTGTGAATCAAGTATATTTGAATTGAAATACACACACACACACACACACACACACACACACACACACACACACACACTTTCATACAGCCAAAACAACCTGCAAAGAAAAATGCATTATTTAATTCTTTTTAGAGGTCATGAGTACAGAGGTTAGCATTATTAAGGTTCATTTAGTAGACCTTTTTATTTCAAATTATTTTGAAAAATGAGTGGGTAGATTGTAGAAGAAATTTTCACTATAAAATGTAATTTAAAAGTACTAAACATTAGAAGAAAAAGTCACAGTGGTAAATGTATGAAGTAATCTTGAAAATTTCACTTACTGTGGAAAAAATAACTAAAATAAAAGAATTTAACTTGCAAAATCACTGTTATCATTTGGCACAATCACTGTGCCTAAAGCAGCTTCATATACTGGTGATAAGATATACCTTGAAATTTTTCACATACTTTACAGAAAAACATAAATTTTCTTTGATATTTATTTTAAACTATGCCCAATAGTTACAAGTCTTAAAAATAATACTTATACTTTATTCATATATGTATAAAAGGTACCCAAGTGTAAATATTGTACCTCCTCTTTTTATTTTTATTGTCATTTTAATTAACTTATCATCATTTAAGGCACATTCTTCCCAGATCAGGGCATTTTTAATACTTATATTGTTTTGATTAAAGCTTAGTGACTTCCAGCATCTATCTCATCCCAGACATTTAAACTTGAGGTACTAAAGCTGAAAACTGGCTCTCTTAAGAGAACTAATACATTTTCTACTCCCTTCCATGTTATGTAATAATGAGCACATAGACACCAAAAAATAAATATTAAATGAGCTACTCAGGATTAAATAGTAAATATCAATGGCATTTCAGTTAATTAAACAAATTTTGCTCTCTGGTAACAAAAACATGCAATTTTACACTTTTTTGTTTTTCTAGTAGCAGATATTACCTATTTTGAAAATCTAGGGTATAAAGAAAATTTTATGATCACTTTACTCCCTGAAAGGAAATATGTTTTCTCTAAAAAGTCATGAAATAAACATATGATGCAGTTGTTTTGTTTTTCTACTTGAGACTCTATTTCTTCTTGTTTTTTTTTCCCCAAAGAATAAGGAGAAAGAGCTTCTTTGCTTCTTTCAGTTCCCTATAGTTTTACACCTCTAGCAGAGTTAATATACTCCAGTTTGTGTCCTCAAACTCTCAAAAAATATTATAGATTGGAAAAACATTTTTCTCCCTGAGCAGCACTTTATGTCATGTATTACCGTCTCATAGACCATTCCTGTGATTAATTTCTAATAACAGAATTGATGGTGTGGCTATCTCTTAGAGATTGAAGTGGTACTAAACTGAAAAGGAGAGCCCATTTTGTGACAATGAGTCTATTGCATTACTCCAAAGAGTATGGTTGAAGAAAAGAATCCAAGGATTTCTCTAACCCAATTGATATTAAATAACAAAATTGGTTGAAAAAATTAGTATAACAGAAAAGTTGAGATAAAATGGCAAATTGATATTCAATAACTTTGAACTTAAGATTCAAAATACTTAAAGGTATTATAAAAAAGGAAACTGGGAAAGTACAAACCCATGAAGAAATAAAACAGGTTTAAAATATGATGAAAATGATGCTAAATACCTCCTACTCTATTAACAAATCCATAAGATATGTTAAATTCATTTGTGTTTAGGCTTTAAACTACAACACAGGAATAAAAATAACATTTTTAAATAAATACAAGTGCACAGTTTATAAGCATTTAGGTAGATAGTGGTTTTGATAGGATATGATAAGATACAGGTAAGAAACAAAGACCATGAATATAAAAACAATAAAAATAAAATAAAAGGAATTAGAATGGCCATATATTAAATAGATTTTATATTAATATTCAAATGATGTTAAATGTTCATTAATAGAGGAACAAGGCAAATCTAGTTTAAAGTAGAAAATAAGAAGGCAAAGCCCAATTGTTTATCTTTAAGGCATTAAAGATAACACTATTATATGCACAAAATAGTTTTTTTTAATGCATTTGCAAAGAGATATCATTTTTTCCCCTGGCATCTATCAAAAGACACAAAGCAAAGACAAAGGAACTTTTTCTAAGGTTTTAAAAAATACTAAAGACTGAACAATTATGTTACTTCTACCTAGGAATGTAGACATTTTAACATTTTCTGTTAAAAAGAATCATCTCTTGGTTTTATCAGTGATTTCTGCCACCTAAACTTTTCAAGACAGATATTAGACTTAAATTTTTTACAAGATTTGGAAGTAAGTTTATGTGTAAAAACATATGTGGCACATTGTGTTAATTGCTTTCATGTATTTTCATTCCTTTTCTTTCATTGGTCCTTTCTGTGGGAGGATTACACATCTTTGCCCTGTTGAATTCAGGCATGACTACATGTCCCGTTTTGGGTAGTGCAATGCCAGATGAAATGTCATTTCTTTATATATATATAACCTAAAATATCCTGCCATGACTACTGCTGATGTTTCAGATACAGGCTGCTTCATCAGTCAATGCAAATTTTCTTTATATACTAGGAGAAATGAAAAGAAATACAAACAGTGTCATAAATTCATACTGTTAAAGTAAATTAAAATGGTGACCAGTGCCTGAAGAATCCCAGAGCAGACAATGCCAGTTAGGCTTCAGAAGTGACCTTAACCTTGCTTGATTTTCAAACATAAGAGAAACTTAACTTCAACTATTTCTTGTAAATGCTTGCATTAAAGAAAAATAAAAACCAACCAAAAACCACCAACTTACTTGTAATTATATAACTAAGGACTTTCCAGCAAAATGGACCAATAAGGCATATGCAACTGTAACCAGTAAAACAGTTTATTTGCTCTACTTCAGTATTCACTCCATAAAAGTCAGTCTCTTGTGTTTCTTCAATGGAGACTGAAACCACCTCTGGTTTGTTATAACACTTTCTAATTCATAAATCACTGTTTTCTTAAGTAAATACCTTAAGATTTTATTGTACCTCAACTTATCTTTCTATAGTACACTGTTTTCAATATTTAAATGATTAGGTTATCAGAAACAAATCTAATGATATTAAATTGAAAAGTAAAATTAGAAAGAATACACAGAAGTTTCATACCACAATGACCTAAATAGGCACTAAATCTTGAAAAAATTGTAAAATATTTAGTTATTGATAAAATTGCTAAATAGAAAATAGCATTTGGAACAAGAAAGAAGTTAAGTGGCAATTATTGACTATTTTTAAAATAATTTTTCAATTGGGAATAGTATTTCAAAATACATGGATGTGGCCTAATCATCACACTCATAGAAAATCTCCCAGCTTTTTAACAAATTCAAATAATACATGTGAAAGAATAAAAGTATAGATAAGTAAGCGGTAGATAAAGAAGACAAAAATAAGAAAATAAAATTGTTGTGAAGAGCTGAGAAAGTTATATTTAAGCCTATTTTAACTGAAGAAAATAATCAAGAGCCATGGAAGAAAGTAAAAACTTTTAAAAAGTGTAACATGTCTAGAAGACATATTATTTTTTAAAACCTTTGTCATATCATATTTTATACTTCTTATCTTAAATTTAGGTTTATGCAAAAATAACATTGTTCAAAATTAATGTTTATAATTAAAAGCAAGCATAATTGTAAAGCCTTTCTAAATCTAATAGCTGACATCATTTTAATCAGTAAAAATGTGAAACTTCCCCATTAAATCTAAAAGATAATTTAACATACAGAAAATGTAAAGCCAAAATAATGACCATAAAATTGGTAAATATTTAAAAATCCAGTTAATCTATGCAGTATTAAGGAGAGTGATGGGAAACAGTTGTTTTGCTTTTCCTGTCATATATAAATTGTTACAAGTTTTGTAAACATTAATTTGATAATGCATAATAAAAGACTGGAAAATGGGGCAACTTTTAGACTCTGAAATTCTGAGAATTGCTCAAAAATATTTGTGCATATTTATACATAGATATTTATGGTTTTTTGATTGGGTGGGAGATTGATAATGTTTCAGAAGACTTGTACCTTATTTTTGTGATTATAGTTTCTATTTTTCTTTAGGGCACATATATTCATATTATCATCTGAAAAACCAGTAAAGCTGATTGGAAGATAATGTTTATACAGCAATAATGCAAATACTGAAACAAGTGTTATTCAACAAGGGAAAGATAGAGAAAGGAAAAAGAAAGGAGTAAAATTCCATGAAAAATCTATACTTACGGTCTGTCTTGAATTTCTCCTCTCTCATTATTGCTTGAAAATAGCCTTTCATTTAATTGCTTTTATTAAGGTTTATCTCATTTATCTCACCTATCTACTGCCTTGATCCAGGTGATCAAGCTTTTGTTCTTAACAT